>NC_000006.12:157495032-157646547 GCF_000001405.40 Homo sapiens | reverse complement strand
TCTGCCTCCTGGGTTCAAGCGATTCTCTGGTCTCAGCCTCCTGAATAGCTGGGATTACAAGCGCCTGCCACCACACCCGGCTCATTTTTTTGTATTTTTAGTGGAGACGGGATTTCACTGTGTTAGCCGGGATGGCCTCGATCTCCTGACCTCGTGATCCGCCTGCCTCGGCCTCCCGAAGTGCTGGGATTACAGGCATGAGCCACCGCGCCCGGCCTTGTTTCCTATTTTCATACTTCCTCTCCATCTGTATTAAGTGCAGGCAGATAATCCTGAATAAAAAAGTTAAATTTTGGGTCAGGGCAATTTCCTCCCACAGAGACATTAAATATGAAAGGCAGACTCAAACGTTCACTCCAAGATGTTGGCCCGCCATGGTCTCTACCAGGGGAAGTGTGATAAGAAGCTTACGAAACCATTTCAAAGGAATACAAAGAACACTCTCTTCAGGGCCAGAAATGGGTGTTGCTTGGCCAATCTTAGTAACTAATGGATGTGGTCGGAAAAACAGAGAACGTGGAGATTCCCAGAAGAGAAACGTGCAGAACGGCAGGTGGAGAAGTTTCCACGGCACCGTCTCTGTTCCCAAGGGCTCACATCTGGAACGGGATGTATGGGAAAAGCTGGGCTCAACCTTTTCTTTCCTTTTTCTCCTCCATTGCCCAAAACCCAAGAACACGCCCGTGTCCCGTGTGGTCAGGAACTTACGTCCTCATTTGTTGTCTGGTTGGAGCTGATCAAGTAGGTGTGGAATCCTGAGAGGCCAACGATGGACCAGACAGAGAAGAAGCACACCACAGCCTCCAGGACGGTGATGCGAGTCAAGGAGGCAAGCGGAAGTGAGGGACCGCGCAAGAAGTGGATGTGATGGAGGCCTGGAACCGAAACACCCCCGGGCACAGGCCTCTCTCTAGTTGCTGGCCTCTCTCTCACCCGGCCTTGCCTTGCTTCCTGCTCTTCCGGGAATTTCGTCTAACCAGATGGAGGCCTCCGTCAGGGCAGGGGGTGTCACCTGCCCCGGCGTGGAGCAGCCTCTGTGGCTCCGTGATGCCTGGAGGGTTTCCTGGGCATCACCTACTCACTTCTTTCCTCTGACTTCTACTTGAACTTCACCTTTTTCTGTGCCTCACTGTGGAGCCAGCGACTGTGGCATCCTGATCAGGAAGCACACTGGTTTGAGTTGGCTGCAGCTCAGGCTCTGGGTGAAAGGACGACATATTGACTCGCACATCAATCACAGACTCTAATTTTGGCTTCTGAATGCTGAGGACTGCAGTGCCAACAGGCGTCTCCCCTGAGGAGAATGGCTTCTGAGGCCCAGAAAGCCCTCTGCTTTAGTGGACGGCCTCTTCTCTGCTTACAGAGAAGGGGAAGAAGGAAAAATAAGCCCCTGAACCGGCGGTGGGATTTCTCGGAGTGACGTCAGGGTGAGGGGTATTTTTACCTGGGGGAGTTTTCTCAGCCCTTCAGCCAACCCCTGACCTATAAGGCCATCCTCAGCTGCTTGATAGGCAGCTGGGAACCACGAGTTCTCGCAGGACATAGAGAGAGAGGAAGTCAAGAGTTCCACAAGACGTGTCCAACACAAAGGGAAAAAGCTTGGTGCTCTTCAGCAGATCAGATCCATCACCCGAGAGTGTGGCAATGTGAAAAGGCCAGAGACTTTTTCTGTCCCACAAATGTTTATAACATTCTATTTACAGGATACAGATATTTCTCAGGGGGAAAAATCCATTCATCCTGGGTCTGGGAGTTTACACATACATCTGGCATCCGCTATCGATACATTACAGGATGGAGAAAGAAACGCGCCTGCTCTCCTAATGTTTCCGAGGATGAATGCCATATACATCATGCTGGAACATGTCAGTGATGATCTTCTCCAGGCTGGAGATAATTCATCTTTAGACCAGAGGGCTGAGCACATTACCCAGTGCGGTGCCGTGGTCTGCTGTGCCATGGTTAACCGATGCCACCATCTGGGCATACAAGGCTGCACACAAAACAGGAGTGAATGGGCTTCTGCCTGTTGACTGACTTTCAACATCGCACTAAACCACTGGGTCTGCTCTAGAAGGAGACGGTAGCGGGGAGTGGTAGGGAACCAGAGAGACACAGGAAGGCAGACCCCCTACCCACAGCTGCTGCCAGCCTAGGCAACCCCTGCTGGGCAAATGGCTACAGTGGGGGCTCTGTGTGCACATGGGGACACATGGATGGTGGCCCAGGCAGCAAAGATGGTCTCATTCTCAACTGCCTTCCCACAGAACGGGGCTAAAGAGGCCCCTCTCTCCACCCACATCCCCCCTGCCAGGAGGGGACAGACTTGGGAGGCAACTCCCCTGGGATTCAGGCCATGCACTGGCTGGAAAGAAGAGGTGAAGTAGAGTCCAGGGAACACAATGCGGGAGCCAGTGGGAAGACTGAGTCAGGAAAGCTGGGGTGTGTGAGAGGGAGATGACATTAGACACTAGTGATGGGTTTGGATCAGCTACAAGGAAGACAAGAGACAGAAAGAGGAGGGGACACATGGAACGGAAACAAGAAATAGCCAGGGTAGAAAAGAATCAAGAACAGAACCAGATTTATTTACTGAATAATACATGAAGAACCAAACTGCAATCCTAGAAATACTTATGTGTCACCAAGAGTTTACGACCCAGGTAGAATGATGGCAAAGTCAAAATGCATATAACATTCCTATGTATGAACCATATGAAACCTGGCATGTACGAGCAGTGACAATCCCAGACTGAAAGTGGCTGCAGCTCCTTTGACAATGTCAACTATGCTCCTTACCCTCATCGGGAGGCATCATAGCCAGCGGATATAGAATTCTAAAGGTTTATAGCAACAATAAAAAAATACAGCATATATATATATATATATATATATATTTGAGATGAAGTTTTGCTTTTGTTGCCCAGGCTGGAGTACAGTGGCATGATCTCAGCTCACTGCAACCTCCGCCTCCCAGGTTCAAGTGATTCTGCTGCCTCAGCCTCCCGAGTAGCTGGGATTACAGGTGCCCACCACCATGCATGGCTAAGTTTTGTATTTTTAGTAGAGACGGGGTTTCACCATGTTGGCCAGGCTGGTCTCGGACTCCTGACCTCAGGTGATCCTCCCAAAGTGCTGGGATTACAGGTGTGAGCCACCATGCCCGGCCAGCTTTTCTATTAATATCTCATGTGCTTTAGACACATTTTGTAAATTGCAGAATGCAGTTCCACTGTCAGCTTGCAGCTGTGTCAAAATGACATGAATCCAAAGTAGGATGCGAGATGCAAGATGCAGCCTGCTGGCACTACCCACACCCTGGGACCCAGCTGACTCAGGAGGTCTCAAGGAACCGTCAGCATCATCATTCATAACAATGGCTGGCATCACTGGGGTGTGTCAGGTCCTGTTCTGCTTAAACCTCAGAGTGACCCAGGGAGAAGCATGACTCCCTCTTAACACACAGGGAAACTGAGGCAGAAAGCAATGAAGTAATTTGCTTGAGAAATAGCAGAGCTAGGACTTGAATGCCGGAAGTCTGCTCTGCTGGGATGACAGAAGAGTCTTAGGCTGGTCCCCTTCCTAATTCTTGCCAAGGGGCAGGTGGCCCTAGACCTACCCCAACCCCCTGCTTCTCCAGGATTCGCGAACCTGTGGCAGCTGACATGGTTTGTTCCCTTTCACATCCACTCTCAGACTCAGATACAGATATACAGACACACATTCCTTACTGGCCCACTGGCTATATGCTGAAAATATCTATGCCATAATAAGGTCAAGAAACAGAAATTTCTTTTAAAGGTATCAAAACCCATTTACCGTCTTTTTTTAGAAAGAGAAAGGAGAGGAAACAACCCAATTCTACTGGAAGCCAATTTCATAAGCAGCTGGGACTTTGTTTACTGCATCGAGGATGGGTTTCAAATCATAGCAGCTACCACTGCACCTCTGTCTCCCCCACAACCCCTGCTAAGAAAGTTTGTCCCCGTTGTGGCCAGAAGGATGGCTTTACATTCCCCACAGCCCTAGCCTAAGAGGTTGCACACTGCGGTACTCACTAAACGTTTGTGGAATTGAAAAACTCTGACAAGCACTGCTCTGCAGAGACCCTTCTCTCGAGTTCCTGCCTAATCCCAGAAGTGCAGGCTCTGTGTCCTTCTATGCACCCAGCCCTGCACTGGGGACAGGACAGGGCAGGGAAGGACCAGCTTCCTGCCCTAAGGGAATAGGGGCTCTGTTTGCAGCAGGAAGGTACGTAAGGGAAGAAGGTTGTGCAGGAGGCAGAATGGTTAGGATGCGTCAGTATTTGGAGGATCACAAAAGGTGAGAGATCATGGGACCACATATGTTACATGTCCAGAATTCCCGGATTCCAGAATGGCCAGGGAGATGATGTCCTTGCTCTCATTCAAATACAATGTGGGCTTGTGCATTCTTGTGTTTTAAAATTTTTTTAGTTCTAATTTCCAACATGATAACTATCTATCTATCTATCTATCTATCTATCTATCTATCTATCTATCTTCAAAATATACACAAAAGCTCTTTGGCGGTCCTTAATAATTTTTCAATGTGTAAAGGAGTCTTGAGACCAAAAAGTTTGAGACTTGCTGGAACAGAATAATGAAATAGTAAGTGGAGTTGGGACACTTCATTAAACATTTAGAAAAAAATAAAGCTAGAACTTCAGCTTGCACCACATCCACAAAATTATCTGATAGATAAATTACTGCACCAAACGTAAGAAACACAATATAAAGGTATTTGAGGAAGATTAAGGCAACATTCATGTAACTTTGGGGTAAGGATATAAGACACAAACCGAGGAGCCACGTAGTATGAGATTGACAGATTGTGTTCATTAATAAACACTTCCGTGTAAAAAAGTAAAGTTAAAAGGTAAATGTTGGATTTGGAGATTGGCAAAGGATGCTTAAGAGATTATTATTATTATTATTTTTGAGAAACATAAAGAACCCCTACATGTTCGTAGAAAAAGAACAAATAACTCAACTGATACATGGACATGTACTGGCATACATTGTGATAAGAAAAAATAAGGCCCATGAACATAAAGAGAGGTACAATCTATTATCCAGAAAATGGAAATTAAAACAGTGTAATATTTTTCTTTTCATCGAATTGGCCAAAATGACAAGACTGTTCACAGCCAGTGCCATAAAGGTGTGGGGACACAGGAGCACAGACTTGTCCAGTGTCTTAAGAGGAGCATTTGGCATCCCTATCGACATTTAAATGTGCTTCCCTTCAACTCAGAGATGGCACACCCATTGTCAACCCTAGAGACACAGTAATATGTGCACATAGAGATACACAGAAGAAAATTCACTACTTCATTTCTTGAACAGTAAAAAAAATTAAATCTAATATCCATCAACAGAAGACTAAACTATAGTTCATCTACACTGTGGAATTCTACGAAATAGTTAAAAAAATGAGGTAGATCTATGTATCATCATGGAAACATCTCCAGGAAATATTTTAAAAAGTCAAATTGTGGAACCATGCAAAAAAAAGAGTCCTTTTTAGGTAAAGTCCTCCCACCCCCGTATCAGCATATGTGTATGATGCACACGGATGTATTCAAACTCTAAGACCATCTGGAAGGACACACCAAAGCTGGCAAGGGTTCCTACAGCAGAACGGAGGAAGGGTCAAGAGAAACACTTTCTTTTTGCTCTTGTATTTCTGGACCATTGGGGATTTTTTACAACGAGAACATATTCTCGTAGGACTTGGGTGCTTTGAAAAAGCAAACAACCTCCTTCCCACCTTGTGGTCTTATGAGACACAATCTGATGCTTTTTCTTCCTGACCCTCCCTCAGTGGGGCTGGTTAGGGGTAGCAGGAAGTATCTCAGTCCCCTGGTGGGAGGGAGGGTGGTAGTTGGGAGAACTGGGCTCCAGCTCTGGACACCCCTGAGTAAGTCATTCACTTCTCAGCACAGCTGCAGCTGGAAGCAGCCTAAGGACACCTGTCCTACCTACTTTCTGGGGTCCCTCTCAGGATCAGCAGGTATCAGGATGGACAAGTTGGAAAAGACCTGTGCTGCCTTCGTGATTTTCCCGTTGTGGTGTCCTTTCTGTGGGCCAACCTGGAGCCTCCTAGAAAATTCCATTAAAACAGACCATGTGTATTAGGCCACTGTGCCTTTCAGATGGGTCAGTGTCCAGTGAATGCAACTTGGGGATGAAAACGCTTTCTGTCACAGCCTCTGCAAATGGAGAATCAATCAACATTTGATTTACCAACCACAAAAAACTCTCCACATTTTAAGAGAGCTGAACAATAAGTCATGATTAAAAATGGCTGTAATCCCTTTAATTGGATGTTAATGCTACATTACATTGAAATGAGTGTTGATAGGCAGGGCTTCCCCTTTTGGGGTCTTCCTCAGGGAGGCCCAGGGCCCCTGTGGCTCCCCAGCAGGTGTTTCTGAGGGTTTTGGCCTCCGCGAATCGGAGAAGCCAAGGCGGCATCACCACATGGCTTCCCGGACAGGCACCTGACAGGTAACATTTCCTATGAGGCTGCGACATTCTCATTGATAAGCAGCTGATTTTTCCCTCCTTCCACATTACATGCAGGCAACTAAAGAAAGGACCTTCAGGTCACTCTAGGCCAATGGGGAGACTCATGTGTGTTATCTTTTAGATTCTTTTTGTAAACATATCTTAGACAGAACTCACCACGGCTCCCCAAATTGGCACTAGCTGTATCCCCCTTCCAGCGCAACCCTTTCCCCCAGGCACTCTTGGCAGAACGCTCCTACTCCTCCGCCCTCACCCCTCCCCAGGCACGGATCCCACTGCCCTGCTTCTCCCTACTGAGCTGTCCCTCTGCCACCGATTTCCCCCGTGGGGGCCTTTCCTCTGCAAACATCTGTTCCACTCTGTTGTGTCCCCTGATGCAAGATAAATGTTCTTGCCGGGTGCAGTGGCTCACGCCTGTAATCCCAGCACTTTGGGAGGCCGAGGTGGATCACTTGAGGTCAGGAGTTCAAGACTAGCCTGGCCAACATGGTGAAACCCCATCTCTACTAAAAATATAAAAAATTAGCCGGGCTTGGTGGCGAGCGCCTGTAATCCCAGTTACTTGGGAGGCAGAGGCAGGAGAATAGCTTGCACCTGGGAGGCGGAGGTTGCAGTGAGCCGAGGTCTCGCCACTGCATTCCAGCCTGGGCAAAAGAGTGAGACGCCATCTCAACAACAACAACAAAAGAAAAAAATGTTCTTTAAAACAAGCATCAAAACCCAGCACTGATGATGTCATTTACCTGCCAGCATGCAGGGGATGAAGGGACCTCACCCCCTTAGTCTTCAACATTGTCAAGCCTGCCCCCACCCCATCGGGGTTTAGCTATCACAGCCCCTCCCAGTTTTCTGTCGCACACTTGGGTGTGTAAGTGCACCTGTGTGCTCACACGATGCAGGGCAGACCACATGTTGATGGGGAGCCCTGCCTCCTTTTGATGCTCAGCCAAAGCGGGCACCCTGCCCAATGTGGAGTGCGTGGGCACAACACCAGGATGCCAGGCATGGCCCTGCAGATGGGCTGCCCCTTCCTGATAGCCCCTGGCACCATCCTCTGGGCCTTGCTCAGGCTGTGGGCGCTGCCTGGGACCTCTCCCTCCATGTCCCCCACTAGAACCCACCCATCTCCCACAGCCCTGCACGGAGGTCCCTGCCACTGCCTCTCCTGATGTCCCTGCAGGACACCCCACCCCAAGCACAGGCTGTGTCTTTTTCATGGCACCCAACCCTTATTCTGCATAAGGAGTCCTAGTGAGAACCCAGATCTGGGCAGCAGCAGATGCTGGCAGAAGAGGGCGAGACGGTGCATTTGTGTGTCTCCCCGCTGTCATCCTTCCAGGGCCCAGGCGGATGGTTCTCGACCTTGTGACCTGTCAGGTTTTGCCCATGGTGGCTGTTGAGTAGAATGGTTTTACAGGAAATAGTTGCTGAGTGGATCTCCTTTGTTTGAACATGCCTGGCTGTGTGGACAGAGGGCCCAGTCCCTTTTTTTTTTTTGAGAAGTCTCTCCATTTGTCTGTGTCCATGGAGAAGGCCAGGGGGCTCTTGTCCATGGTACGGGGCAGCCGCTCCATGGCCACAGGCCCTGAGAGGCCCCTCCCCACTGCCTCTGCTTCTCTGATACAAAGAAAAGGGGAGGAAATGGAGTTTGGTGCAGGCAATGGGAGGTGGGAAGGAAGGAGTAGGAGGAGGACGGAGGGAGGGAGAACCGACTATGGACTCTGAGCCAGAAGTGCACCCTCCAAGGCTGCATCCCAGCAGTGGGCACCCTGCCCTATCCCTCACCCCTGGGAGGGCTGATGGTGCAGACTGGGAAGGGGCCTGCTGAGCACCTGAAAATGAGTCAGGCATTCTGTCACAGTCATCTAGGGCCTCCTCTACTCCCCTGCCTCCACCTCCCTCTCCTCCCTCCCTCTCCCCCTGGGCTGGCCACACTCTGGCACTAGATACCACCCAGTCCGGGCTTACTTACAGTAGAAGCTACTCGGTTCCTTTCTCCTAAAGTTCTGCTGGGTTTTATGTGGGCCTGATGAAGAGCTTTCAGTGTATCAATGTTTCCATCATTGACACTGATATTTCTGCCAAGGTGTCTTAGATGGTTGTCTATTAGCCATTTTTGTTTCTAATCTCTCTCGCTTCCTCAATGACATTGTTTTTAGTTGGATATTTTGCAGAGTAAATCTGCTGTGAGAAAGCTTTGCCTGTGCCCTTATTTCTCGTCAAAATATTTTTATTGCATGGTCAGGAAATTAGATATGAGGTCACTGAAAATGTGAAAATATAAGTTATTGTCTTGCCCGAGAAAACGCTGCAGAGGTCACTTGCAGAGGTTCCTCTAGACTCCAGTCCTGTGCTCAGGCAAGTCAGCTGGGAAACTTCCTTCAGTTTTAAAAACTTGGGACTTTACAGATTCTTGCTCTGGATGGAGTACAGATTTGGAGAGGACAAAGCGTGGGCAGCTCTGCCATCAATCAAAGGACGGCTTTTATGAGTGTGCCCCAGATCAAACTCATCCATCATAAACCAGCCACCCCAACAGACACTCTCAAGCTCTCAGGATCTCAGCAGCGGAAGGGGCTGGGAGGTCTTGAGTTTAGCATTTCTCTAATGCTAGAATCCCCCACCACACTGACAAGCAGGACCCATCTTCCTTTCTAGCACTCCCAGTCACTGTGATCCAGGGCTTCTGCGGGCCAGACCCCTGAGTGGCCCTTGACTTTGGCACACTCTTCCTCAGGAGCTACAGGGCTTCACCACATAAGCTCCCGCTGGCATTCCCATGCCACCTCCAAAGCCACAGGTGTCCAGAGGAAAGACAGGCACCAAAAATACCAACAGATGTGCTGATGGGATCCAGCCCTACTCAGCACATGGTTCTCTAATAACCAGAACTAATGTTTTTTCAAAAACACACAGCAATCCAGTAGCACCCAACGCATGCTTACTCTTCCGGAACACAAACTTAGGATAAATAATCTGTGCAATACTTCTTAATAGACTCACTGGAGGAGGAACTCTTCTCCAAGGCACATATTTCAAACAGAAAGCACCCTGTCGGAACACAGAACCTTTAGGCAACCACAGCATCGATGAGGGGAGGGGCGTCAGTGGCACACCGAAGAAATGTCTCTGTACTTTGCACGTTAAAGCACCCAGCACCTTGCTTCGCAGAGTGGGTGTGTGTCTGATGTTCTTGAAATTCACTCCTGCTTCCAGAAAGGATTAAGGAGACCCAGGCTAGGGTGCTGCCCACACTGCTCACTTCTCCTGCGCTAGGAACAGCTTTGCTGGCTCTTCCCAGACCTTGCTTTTAGACCCCACTTTTCTCCAGGGGGAATGGGGTTTTGTTAGGGTCTTTTTCTTGGCTGCCCTGGGATATTCTGGGTTTAAAGTTAAGTCTCCTTTTCCCAGGCAGGAGCCCAGCAGGACCTCGGGTCCATAATGTAGGTGCCACAAGACCAAGCAGGGAGCGAATCAGCAGGAGGGAAGTGAGGATGGGCAGCCTCCCTGTGAGCAGCGTGGGCCAGCAAGGGCCTTCGGGGTATCCCGCGAGCATTTCCAACCTGAACTCTGGGGAGGACATGTCTGTCTACATCTGTACTTACTGATAGACATACAGATATAGATGCATGCACACACACACACACACACACACACTTATATATCCTTATATAGTCCTTATATATGTGTGTGTGTGCGTCTATAGCTATATACACATGTATATATGAGGGCTTAAAAATACATACATACACACACATCTAAGGATAGACAGCGCTGTGTGTGTGTGTGTGTGTTTAAATCCATCAAGTGACCTGTGCGATGAGGGATGTGTGTTTCTTTCAGGCTCTACGCCCTGGCTGACATTTTGGAAGGCCTTGGCTGGAGGTGCGGGTGTGGCCTGCGTCTGGGTTTTTAGGACCTGCATGCGGTCAGCAGGCTGTGGCTGCCCTGCCCCTGAGTGTGGAGGAGGTGCCGGGAACTCCTGCAAGGGGGAGCGCCTGGCTGTGGGAGGAAAGAGTCAGCACCCAGATGAGGAAACACTATTTGGAAAGGCAGCGGCTGAGACTTCTATGCGTTTTCAAAAACTGGGCCAATAGGGAAAACTCTTTACCTCCATCCGAGAATGATTTTTAGGGGAAAATAAAATTTGCTCTGGCCTGAATAAGTAAGAGCATCTCTTTTCCTCCCTTCCCTTCCCGCACTCCTTCCCGCTGCAGGCTCCGGGCACGGCCAGCACGCTACTGCCACGCTTGCTTCCTAACAGCAGCACCGGTCTGTGCCCCTAAGGGGGATGCCGTGTTCCTGGTTCTGCAGACTGTCAGCCCAGCCACACCATGCAGCGTGCAGACGTGTGCTCTCAAAGAAGGTTCTGGCAGAGTCTCTTTGAAATCCCTCTGGCCACACCTGGAAGCCGTGCTTTGGAGCTGAGTCTTTCCTGTATTTCCTGAATAACTGACTTTGTCAGCATATCATTGTCAAGTACATAGTGGTTGACTATTGCAGGTCAAAAAATTGAGACACAAAAGGGTTAAGAAATGACTCCGGACCTCATAATTAATTGCCATGGAGCAGGTATTAAAAGATTTGACCCCAGTCCAGGACTGCCTACTTGGTCTCTAATAACAGCCCTTCTGGGATCTTGATAGGATAAGATGCATGACTTGGGAGGTCTGTCAGGAGCTCTGATAAAGACCAGGCAGTGGCTGGGCGCGGTAGCTCACGCCTGTAATCCCAACACTTTGGGAGGCCGAGGCAGGCAGATCACGAGGTCAGGAGTTCAAGACCAGCCTGACCAACATGGTGAAACCCCGTCTCTACTTAAAATATAAAAATTAGCCAAGTGTGGTGGCACAGCACCTGTAATCCCAGCTACTCAGGAGGCTGAAGCAGGAGAATCGCTTGAACCCGGGAGGCGGAGGTTGCAGTGAGCCGAGATCGTGCCAGTGCACTCCAGCCTGGGCGACAGAGTGAGACTCCGTTTCAGGGGGAAAAAAAAAAAAAGACCAGGTAGCAACAAGGCCACTCTACACACAGCCCCTCTATGCTCCACCTGAAGGGTGGCTCCCAGGGGACACGTACGGAGCAGAAGCCGCCAGCAGGCCAGACACAAGGCAGCTGGAATGACCAGGCTTTGAGGGTGGCCTTTCTCAGCAGCGAGGAAGTGCTTCCCCCTCCCAGCCGAGAGGCACTCCTGTGTTGGATATTTGTGTCTGAAACATGCACCAGGCCTCCTGCACACGCACAGGGTTTCAGGGAGGCACAGGTGCCAGGACAGAATTGGGGGGAGTTGGCTGAAGCTGCCACATATGTGAGGCTTCAGAAAATCTTCCAGCTGGCAGCCCGGGCCCCAGTGCCAGTTCTGAGGCACATTTTTAAAACTTAATGTGACCAGCATGCTTTCATGACACAAACGGTTCCTTGTAAGACTTAGGCAAGCCTTTTCTTTAGGAAGGGAGAGGCGACTTGGCTATGAGCTTTGAGGAAGCAATGTTCTCTGAAAACAGAAGGGCACAGAGAGGTGATAGTGGGGGGATGTCACCCCTGGTAGAGTTGGGGAGAGGAACGGAGGAGGACATTTCTCGCTGGACCTGATCCTAATAGCACAGGTATTGAAGATTTCATTCATTCCCTGGGCCACCTTTCCTTCCAGTCAACTTCTTCCCAAATCATTAATAGAAGACATGACCTATTTGTTGAATTTATCCTCCAAGTCCCCTTTGTACATCTTCCTTATGTCCCAGGCCCCATCCACAGTACAGATCTGAGTTTAAAAAGTATTAGTTGACGATAGAATCTGGACCTGTAACCAACATCCTATGCTGCCCACAAACACAGAGGTACTGGAAAAAGAGATACCATCTATTATGGAAACATATATATATATTTATATTTATAGGATCACATTTGTTTTTAGATGTATCGAAATCCCTCCCCTGCTCAAACACACATACCAGTTCTCAGGGACATGGCAGGTTGACTTTAAGAACATGATACATACATAAGTCATATTAAAGTTCTTCATTCTTAAGAAATCCCTACCTTGCTGGGTGTGGTGGCTGATGCCTGTAATCCCAACACTTGGGGAGGGCCAGGTGGGCAGATCACCTGAGGTCAGCAGTTTGAGACCAGCCTGGCCAACATGGTGAAACCCCGTCTCTACTAAAAATACAAAAATTAGCCGGGCATGGTGGCACATACCTGTAATCCCAGCTACTTGGGAGGCCGAGGTTGTAGTGAGCCAAGATCGTGCCACTGCACTCCAGCCTGGGTGGGTGATGGGGTAAGACTTGGTCTCAAACAAAACAAAACAAACAAAAACGAATAATTCCCTTCCTCAAGACGGAAATTACTCTGAAGAGTAATGAGAAGTTCAAGTCCAGTCTACCTGATTATATGAGGAAGAAAGAGAACTGGGTCACTGACGAGCCAGATCAGGGGGTCCCATCTGTATTAAAGCCTGGGGCCCCTGGGAGGGATAGGACCTCATTCAAGCACTTAATGGGCACACGCTTTTCTTTCAAGATTCAAAATACTATGGTCCATCCCCATATTTATGCTTGGGAGGATGGGAATCCTCCTCATTAATCCAAATGACTTGAGACTGACCATTTTTAATCTATTCAGGGTTTAAAAGGGTGTTCTGTTCCTGGAAATAATACAGTAATCCGAATGGCAAACTGTAACCCCCAACAGAATCGGAACAGAGGGGTCTGAGGACTCTCACCTGGTGACTGCATGCCAGGATGCAACCCACACGTGGGCATCCCTACATGTTCTGTGTGGACCACCTGCCAATCAAAATGAGATCAGTTGCAGCTCACAGCCCTACTTCTCCCCAAACCAACCTGACTGAACACAAATCCATGCTGATTTCTGGGGGTGGATAAGAATTCATACTTGGCTTCCTAGCCCTCGATTTAAACAGGCTGAGTCACTCAGGGATGGAAGTAGTCAGAAGCTACTACTCGTGCCAGTGAATCTGAGGGAGTTCTTTGGAATAAGATACATGAGAAGCAAGGCCGGGGCAGAAGATGAGGAGGTGTGCGCACAGAAGGTCAGCCAGATACTCAACACATTAGCATCGTGAAAACAGAATCATCACAAAGGATATCTTGCAGGACTGTCCTTAAGGGCATTTAGGAATCCTGTTTGCTGTGAACCTGTGGGAATGAAACCAACATTTAGTATTCAGATAGAAACAGCCTTCATGCTGAATGCTCTCTCATCTACAAAAAAATAATAGATGGCTAAAGATCAATGAAATAATTCTATTTTGTAAGTGCTACGACACCCAGTTTACCGATCAGAGATTGAGATGCCACTAAAGTTTTTCATCAAGAAAATGGAGGATTCATAATTAGGCCCAACATCTGCAGGGTATTTTTTCAATAAAAGCAGATGGATGTCTGCACACTTTCCCGTAAATTATAGTTCTGATGACTCCTTTGTTTTCCTCATTTTAATAGGAAAACAGAATACTGTATGCTATCTTTTCTCTTCTGTTTTCCCCAAATTTGTTAACTTTTGACCCTGGAAGTTCTGGAAACTAGGCTACGTATAAAAGAATTCTTTTTCTACACCCAGAGTAAACAAAGTCATAAAGCTGAAATTTATTAGACTTCTCTTGGGCTTTAGACATTTTAATATGAGCTGTCTTAGGCAAGAAAACATTTCTTTAGGGGCTTGAATAAAGAAGCATCTGACAGAAAGCAATTTTTATTTTATGCATTGACATCATACTTTTAAAAATAAAAATGGAGGTAGTTTTAACAATTCCATCTTAGGGTAGCGGTGCCAGGTCCCTCTGTGCTGTGGGAAGCCAGTGAGCCTCTGGGGACATCATCCGGCCCTCGTGCACCAAGGAAATGACACACTCTACGGGTGCTATGGTGTCCCTGTGGCATCTGACCACAGGCCCAGCTGCACTGTGGGACTCAGTGGCAGGGGGTGAGTGGCCACCGTGTCCCCATGTGCCCCACTATGGGCGACACCTGGGAGGGTGAAGAGTGGCTTGGCTCCCTATTCTTCCCAAGGTCCCTTTCCCTCTGTGCCCACGGCCCATGTGTCTGAGTAGTGGGACACAGTGTGTGGGAGGGGCTGTGAAGAGAAGCTGCGTGGAGCGCTAATCAGGAGAGATGGTGCTTAAGGCTTTCTCCTCCATCTCTGCCAGCCCCAAAGGGCACAGACGCAAGTGCCTGTGCGGCCATGTGGAGCAAACACAGCCTTGAGGCAGATGAGGGACCAAAAGAAATGATTTCTGTTTGTCTACTGCACCCTAATTATGTGGCTGGCCTAAGCCCTCCTTCCTCTCCAAGGAAATCCAGACTTCGCCTTCCCAGGAATCTTGGAGGCCACAGAAATCTCTCCCGCCCCTCCCTGTCTGGCCTTTCCCTAAGAGCCCAGGATCCCACAGAGAGACTCAGATGACAGCTCTCCTCTCTGCCTGTGCCAATGTTTTCTGAGGCTTAAGAGGGTAACAGGAGCCGTGGAAACCCTGTGCCCTTCCTGAAGCATCACATGCCAAGCCAGATAGGGTGGTGGGGTCGTGTCGTGGGGGTCACTGATGAGGGGGTGTCAAACAAGGGAAAAGGGAAAGTTTTATTTGCTTTTGCCCAGGATATTCCAATAACTTGCAGGCAGGTAAATTCTTAATACTTTTGTGTAGAAGAAGAGATGAACAGTATTTAAGTATAGACTATGGTAAAATCCAGTTTGGTGGAGCCAGGTGAGTAAAACCTTAGAGGAGCTAAAAGTGAAACACACATCGCAACCTGAGTGTGGTGGCAGGCACAGATTTCACCGTGAGAGTGTGTGAGAGCATGTGAGTGTGCAACGGTATGTGAGCGAGCACGACAGCATGTGAGTGCGAGAGTGTGAGCATATTGGTGACTATATATGAGTGTGGGTGTAGCTAGAGTGTGAGTGTGGGTGTATAAGGGTGTGTGGGGGTAAGGGTATGTGTGTGAGTGGGTGTGTAAAGGTGTGAGAGTGTGGGTGTGTAAGGGTGTGTGTGAGTGTGGGTAAGGGTGTGTGTGAGTGTGGGTGTGTAAGGGTACATGTGAGTGTGACAGTGTAAGGGTAT
Organism: Homo sapiens; assembly: GCF_000001405.40. Taxonomy (NCBI): domain Eukaryota; kingdom Metazoa; phylum Chordata; class Mammalia; order Primates; family Hominidae; genus Homo; species Homo sapiens. The sequence continues at coordinate 157,630,911 of NC_000006.12, read as the reverse complement.
GAGTGTGTAAATGTGGGTAAGGATGTGTGTGTAAGGCTATGTGTGTGTGAGCTTATTGGTGAGTATATATGAGTGGCTAGAGTGAGTGTGGGTGTCCAAGGGTATGTGTGTGGCTGTGTAAGGGTATGTGTGTGGGTGTGTAAGGGTGTGTGTGGGCGTGTACGAGTATGTGTGTGTAAGGCGGTGTGTGGGTGTGTAAGGGTATGTGTGTGAGCTTATTGGTGAGTATATATGAGTGTGAGTATGGCTAGTATGAGTGTGGGTGTGTAAGGGTACATGTGTGAGCATATTGGTTATACATGAGTGTGGCTACCGTGAGTGTGAGTGTGTAAGGGTGTGTGGGTGTGTAAGGGTATGTGAGAGTGTGGGTGTGTAAGGATATGTGTGAGTGTGAGCGTATTGGTGAGTATATATGAGTGTGAGTGTGGCTAGAATGAGTGTGGGTAAGAGTGTGAGTGTGTGTGAGTCCATAAGCATGCGTGTGTGTGTTCCCTGAGTTTAGGTATATGACTAAGCACGTGGCAACTGGCCCTTGACATCCACAATGCAGGGACAAGGCCATAAATACAATCCCATAATACACACAAAAGCATCTTGAGGTTGTGAAAGGTGATATAAAAATACAATGTCTAGGCCGGGTGGGGTGGCTCACGCCTGTAATCCCAGCACTTTGGGAGGCCGAAGCAGGCGGATCACCTGAGGTCAGGAGTTTGAGACCAGTCTGGCCAAGATGGTGAAACCCTATCTCTACTAAAAATACAAAAATCAGCCGGGTGCTGTGGCCCACGCCTGTAATCCCAGCTACTCGAGGCAGGAGAATTGCTTGAACCTGGGAGGCAGGGGCTGCAGTGAGCCGAGATCCCGCCACTGCACTCCAGCTGAGGCAACAGAGCGACACTCCATCTCAAAAATAAAAATAAATAATGTCTAAACACTGCTTTTCAGTGTTACGTGTGTGCTGGAGGATCGGTTCGTATTTCTTCCCTAGTTGTGTCAACAACTGCTTCTTTGAAAATAACATATAATGCCCTAGTCATTCTCTCTGCTTCTTTTGTCTATTAATGCACAGATAGGACCCTAGCCACATTTTTGCCATTTTGAGGACTTTGAAAATAGAGGGAGAGGGTGCCCCTGTCTGCATCCTGCCCAGCTGATGTGGAAAAGGCGGGTGTCCATTGTCCTCTTGCAAGCCCACCAAGTCATGGCTCTCAAGCACATATTACACATTTGTGTCACGTTTGGATGAAAGATTATAGTCAGAAAGAATGGCAACTAGGATTGAAAGTACCTATGAAAATTTGGGATGTTCCATTTAACGGCCCAATTTGACTAATATTCAAAAAGAATGAATGCAAAACATTCTCTCCCACCCACTTCCCCACCCCCATACGAACCCACCAGAAGAGAAAGGGAGGAAGATGTACTCCTAACGTGAGCCTGAGCCCAGCCCACGCCATTTGTGGTTTGAGCACCGCGGCCTGGGAAGGAAGTGAAGCCGTTGTGCAGATACTTACGGAAACATTCCAGAAAGAAGCTACGGACTTGCTAATGAAGGGTTATGCTTCAGGAATGCGGACAAGAGGCAAGGCTAGTGCTTAGTGTTGCTGTTGGTACTGTAATGGAAGTTCAAAGGCCTAAATTTATAACTCAAGGCAAATTCACTTCCTTCTCATCACTTTCTATTGTAGAAAAGTGAATGACCAAGAGACAAAAGCAATTCAAAGTTATAACCCTCAGAATGGAAAATGAAAAAATGCCATTTGCTTAGGCAAATAGATATTAAAATAATTGATTTCCAAATCTAATTTTTAATCAAAGTTGCTTCCTTTATATATATGCCAGGGGTAGTTAGCTCATGTTCTAGCAGATACGTAAACATCTTGTCAAATGTATGTTTTTAACCTATATAGATTTGTGTGCAAGAAAACCTAGTCTTTCTCACCAGACATCTTTTCTAGGGAGGGTGACTGGTGACTGTTCTTACATAAGGAGATTATCACATTAAGGAAGAAAACTCTGCTCTTCAATGGTCATCACTGCAGCACATTGTCCTTTGTGCAAAATGTGGGGATGAGTCTTCCAGGGGACCCCTTAGCAGGAGAAAAAGTGAGGTCACTGAGGTTGGAATAGGGATGTGCGTATCAAGGAGGAGGTATTGTTTGGTGAAAGCGCAGCCTGGCCTAGGTGCGACCCCTGGAAAGTGCTGTGAAAGATGGGGTGGGGAGTGGGGGATGACAGGGGACGGAGGAGGGATGGAGGAGGGTGAGAAACAAAAGCGAGGCAGGCTGGAAGTGAGGAGGGGAAAGGGAGAAAGAAAGGGAAAGAGAAAGCCCGAAATGACCAAAATATTAAATCAAAATCAAATAGGAAAATCAAAGTCAGGCAAATGGTTACATACGTAATCTGATTTCGCCAGCATACTTACGAAGAATGACGTGGGTGATAACGAATGCAAATATAAAGACTGTCAGAAAAGACAGAGATAAAATAAACATATAAAAAAATCTGTAGTTTCTTTTCCCCACACAGTTGCCTACCCAGGGACAGTGGTGATCAAACCGTTCTGAAATGAGAGGCAGAAAAAAAAAAAAAGTGGAAATCAATTAATAAAATGTCTTTTTACTTGCAGGAGCCCCGCCCCTCCCACCCAATACTCTGATAGTATAACACAATGATATTATTCTGCATATTTCCAAATTAACCACTCAGAGAAATGTTTCTCATCAAGACAGTTCAAGGACATCGTCATTCTTTCAACAGAACGTAGCTGTTTTGAAAAAACAAAGCATATGCATTCTTCTCAAATGGCAACTTAAAGAAACAGGAGGGCAAATTCTCATTTCTTTTGGAAAGTAAAGATTCCTCTCTTTGGTAAAAGAAACTTCTTTGCATTCACTGAACAACCTTCCCTTAAGAGGGAACCAACACCGCCTGATGGTAAGTTCTGGGCTGGGGCTGGATGTCGATCAAGTGACCTGCATTGCATAGTAAATGGCCATAGAGAGAGGCCACAAGGGGCCTGGGACAGGACAGAGGGACAATCCTTTGTCCTCAGTTACAACCGTTCAGCAGATATCCATCACATTTATTAATGCATTGGGCCTCAAAACATTCCTATGAAGAAAACGATGGTGTTACCCTATTTTACAGATGGGCAAACTGAGGCTTACAGAGATGGGAGACTGCCTGCACGGGGCCATTCAGCTCAGAAGCAGTGGAACTAGAACTTGAGGCCATGCCTTTCAGAGCTGCTCCCATCTTCTTACTGTCCATGCCGCCTCTGGCACTTTATAAATGACAGAGGGTCCGATATGGGCATCATCACATGGTTACCCATGGTACCCTAAGTGCAGACCCCAGGCCTCTCACCTGGACATCTGCACACAAAGTCTGTAATGCATTTGAGATTTGTTCTTCCCCTTGCAAGTAATGGCAAAGGGCTTCTCTTGACTACTCAGCTGATCTTCTATTGAGAACACCATTCTAACATACTCGCTCATACAAGACTGCCTGTGGCGGCTGGGGAGGACACCGCTGGGCATATGACTTAGCTTTCTCCTCCGGCTGTTTTCTAAGCTGAACTTGTATCCAGTTTTCATATTTTATCTATCTCTATGTGCTTGAAAATATACCGGGAGTGCTATATGAGGTGTGACCATATAAATAAAACATTATAAACTTAGGCAAGGCAGTCAGTATCATGACTTTCTGGTCATGTATCATAAATCGGTCATCTTGCATTTTTGGTCAAATGCAAGCTTGTTTCTTGAAAAGGGCATGAGGACACCTGAATGATAGTGGCGGCAGAGGAAGTGCAAGATAATCATTGCTGCCTGCCAAGTGGTAGTAATAAGAAACAGCCAATCTGAGCAGAGGACTTGAGGAGAGATTTCAGAGCTCCCTGGCTTGGTGATAAGCTGATGGCCTATAAGATGCTGACACTCAGGGAAAATAATTTGTATAAGCCTACCCATGTGAGTTACATGTTAACATGTGTTGCTGCCCCCGCCGCCCCCCCCCCAGCTGGAAAAGCAAACCCTGAATAAAAACAACCTCCCTGGGGCTGGGGAGGGCTGCACAGGTGTATCGGGTGTATCACAGAGAATACCCGGGGCCGGGGAAATACTCTGTGTGATACTGGAATGACAGAAACATGCAATCCATACGTTTGCCCAAAGCCACAGAATGTACCACACCTAGAGTGAACCCTAATGTAAACTGTGGACGTTGCATGATAGTGATGTATCAATGCACGTTCATCAATCCTGCCAAATTTATCCACTATGATGGGAGATGTTGATAATGGGGGAGGCTGTGCATGTGGAGGGGAGGGGGAGATGGGAACTCTCTGGACCTGCCTCTCAATTTTGCTGTGAACCTAAAACAGCTCTAAAAAAAATTAAGTGTTTAAATATTGACAACGAACAAACCTCATTTCCCCGAGTTACTGATCTGCACAGTCTGTATCATGAGAAATCTATCTATGTGTCAACGTGCACAGAGAGAAAAAAATCTGAATCAGCCAGAATTTCCTAAGACTTGGAGGCCATCATTTTGAGAAACCACTTTTCTTCTCAATGTATGACTACAGAAAATGGGCATGAGAGTGAAAGCTGGGGGCATAAAAGCACATGCTGGGATGGAATCTCCTATTCACTCTAGGAAAGCTGATCTCTCAATCCCACATGCGGTGGGTTTGAGCCTCTCAACTGAAGTGAAAATCGCCTATCAGCAAAGAAGAATGTAGGGTCTGGGAGGCATCGTTAACACCAGGTACACCCCATCTGAAGCATGAAGGTCTTGCAGCACACTACAGACCATTTCTACCATAGCAGGCAGGTTGTATTTTTAGCTTAGAAAGTTTAATAACAGCTAAGCTGTGACACTGTGCTTTCCCGACGGAGGCAGAGTAACTACTGAAATGAAAGCAACAGATGATGCGGACGAGACAGTTGCTCGTGGAGTCTGGGAGCTTCTTGGGAAACCAGCGCCGTCTTAGAGATGAGTGTGAACTCCTGGCTCTCCGGTAGCCCTGAGCTAAAAGCAGTTCCTGTCTAGAAACTTGTATTGAAAACTTTTTCTGGCAAACTATTTCTGGGATTTTAGTGGCAGGAATCCCACTAAAAATCTAGGCTCACCGAGAAATTATCCTACTGAATATTTTTCATGTCCTCTGTTGTGTTTGTTGAGTTTATGGTGGTAATGAGTCTGAGAGGCTCGGCGGGTGCCTCCGGGGAGTCAGAAAGCATCACAGTCCTCAGGCCGGAGTTCTCACTGGCCTAATCCCCACCCCACATTCTTACACCTCGAGCCTGCGTGCTCTCCCCACCTCCCTTTCTGTGCTTTCCTCTCTGCCCAACATCTGATGATCAGTTGCACCCAGGGTCTCTTTTCCATGGACTGTCTTTCTCTCTCACTGGCAATCCCTTTTCATCTCAAGGTCCAAATGCCACTCTACACTGATGACTCCAAAACGGCGGCCTCTCACCTTCAGCAACAGACTCCTGCTGCATGGCCTGACTGGCCCTCAGACTTGACTTGTCCTGGAGAGGACATCCTGTCCTCCCTCCCCAAACACGTGCCTCTTCAGACTCTCTATCTGACCAGTTGCTCAACTCAGAACCCCAGGCATCTTTCCTGACCCCGCCCTTTCTCTCACCCCCACATCCAAACCATGAGCAAGTCCTATCGGCTTTACCCTGGCTTCATCTGAAATCATCTGCTATGGTCTGAATGTGTCCCCCGAAGTTCGTGTGTTGGAAACTTAGTCCCCAGTGCAACAGTGTTGAGAGGTGGGGCATTGAAGAGGGGATGAGGTCATGAGGGCTCTGCTCTCATGAATGGCTTAGGATTAATGCTGTTATTGTGGGAGCGGGCTCCTGATAAAGGAATGATCCCCCTCCGCCTCTCACACTCTCTTGCCCTCCTGCCTTCTGCCATGGGAGGACACAGCAAGAAGACCCTTCAGATGTAGGCCCCGTGGCCGTGGACTTCCCAGCCTCCAGAACTGTAAGGACTAAATCTCTGCTCTTTATAAGTTACCCGGTCTGTGGTACTCTGTCACAGCAGCACAAAATGGACTAAGACATGCTCACATTTGTTTTTCACTTGTGCTTGTCTGCCAACCCTACTCTAAGCCTAACACACATTTGTCAAGTAACTGAATACACTCTCATCTTATCAAAAGGACATCTGCAGGAGTAAGTGCATTGCCCAAGGTCACACAGTTAGTGTATCGCAAAGCTGGGATGGGGGCCCAGCTCTATCTGTCTCCTAACCTGAGCTCCTGTCCATTAAATGCTACACTGCCTTTACTGAGTATTTTCCATGTACCCAGCACTGTATCAGGTGCTCGGAATACTAAGAAGAAACTGCCACAACATAGGACACCATGGCTTCAAAGAGTTCCTTGTGTTATTTGGTGAGGACACAATTTTCAGACACTAAAATATTCCTCAGATCCAAGGAACGAACTCCTAATTTAGCTTCCATGTCAGTCAGCTTGATTGCCATTGTTGGTAGCAGACAGCATTCTTTCTTTTCAGGTCAAGGATGAGAACAGGCCATGGAAAAGCAGGGAGACCTCACATGGTGGCCCATCCTGTCCTGCTGGGAGAGCCACCCTCCTGCCTCCAGCTCTGAATGCGCTCAGAGGAGCGGAAGCTAAAGAGCTGCTAGAGTTATACCTTCCAATGGGGAGGCTAGTGTCATTCAGTGTCCAGGATAGAAAGTTGGCAAGAATTAGGCACAAGCTGAGCTGGGAAGAGAGCAAGTGACTGCAACCAACACATGACATTGCTCTCAGGGGCCCAAGTGAACACATCTGAGAAGCTCCACACAGCCATATTTAGAGTATTATTTCTATACTTTCTGTGTGGAAAAATTGAATGGCTGTCCTGTGTGCCAGGGTAGGGTTAGGGGCACGTGTGATGGGAAGTTCTTTAAACAAACACTTTGAAGTTGTTGCCACATTCCTTGATTCTAAAGTTTGGGTCCTGCCAAAAGGGAGTGGTCTTTATACCACAGTATCACTGGAGGATTCCTTTATTTAAAAGATGTATTAGGGCTGGGTGTGGTGGCTCACGCCTGCAATCCCAGCATTTTGGGAGGCCGAGGCGGGCAGATCACGAGGTCAGGAGATCGAGAATATCCTGGCCAACATGGTGAAACCCCGTCTCTACTAAAAATACAAAAATTAGCTGGGTGTGGTGGTGTGTGCCTATAGTCCCAGCTACTCAGGAGGCTGAGGCAGGAGAACCGCTTGAACCCAGGAGGTGGAGGGTGCAAGCTGCAGTGAGCTGAGATCATGCCACTGCACTAAAGCCTGAGCGACAGAGCAAGACTCTGTCTCAAAAAAAAAAAAAAAAAAAAAGATGTATGAGTCTGTTCTCATGCTGCTATAAGGGCATACCCGAGACTGGGTAATTTATAAAGGAAAGAGGTTTAATCGATTCACAGTTCTGCAGGGCTGGCAAGGCTTCAGGAAACTTATAATCATGGTGGAAGGGGACGCAAACACATCCTTCTTCACAAGGCAGAAGGAGAGAGAAGAATGAGAGGCAAGTGAAGGGGGAAGTCCCTTATAAAACCATCAGGTCTCATGAGAACTCACTCACTATCATGAGAATAGCATGGGGGAAACTGCCCCCATGATTCAATTACCTCCCACCAGCTCCTCCCACCACACATGGGGATTATGGGAACTACAATTAAGGATGAGATTTGGGTGGGGACACAAAGCCTAACCATATCAAAAGATGAGGAGCTACTCCCTAAGAGCCAGCTGGTGAATGGAATACTGAGGGTGGGGGATGGCTGGAATACCTGGAAGGTTCTAGAAAATAACAAGATTGAGTTAGCTAGCCCGGGGATCCTGGCCATGCCTCTGGTGGCACCGAGCTGCCTGCAGTGACCTGTGGACCTGCTCTCCTCTTTCATCCAGCTGGCTCCCAGAGGGGAGGAATCATTTCTAGTCACCCTCAGAGCCCTGGCACCTAAGTGCCTGGCATGCAGTAGACACCCAGTAACTATGGATTAAGTAAAGGCAGAAATGTCTTCAATCTCGTTTAGTAGGTTTATGAGCGATCACTACTCCAGCTTGCCAGGTGAAGACACTGGCAAACGCGGGCAAAACATGAGATTCTAGGCATGCCAAGCACAAGACAAAACAGGGTTCCAGGACTTCTGCATACGTTCTGAGAAGGCTGAGAGCTGGGAGATACTGACTAGGTGCTAAGAGCTGACAACAGTTCACATGGATCAGCTCATGCAGAAAGAGTGGGAGGAGAGAGATAGTGGGAGGCAGGGGTGGTTTTACTCAAGCTCCATGGGGTACCAGTGAGAGCCCCAGAGGCTACAGTGGAATGCAAGTCACCTGCCCTCAGATCCTAAGTGGGCAAAGAAGGTTCCATTAAAGTGGTCAGTGGGAACATAGTTCAGGAAAAAGAGCTATGGTCCTATTTTGTGAACCTAAAACTCTAAATAATGATGAAAACAATTTTATTTTATTTATTTATATTTTGAAATGGAGCCTTGCTCTGTTGCCCAGGCTGGAGTGCAATGGTATGATCTCGGCTCATTGCAGCCTCTGCCTCCCGGGTTCAAGCGATATCTCCTGCCTCAGCCTCCCGAGTGGCTGGGACTATAGGCATGCACGCCGCCACATCTGGCTATTTTTTTTTTTTTTTTTTTTTTTGTATTTTTAGTGGAGATGGGATTTTGCCATGTTGGTCAGGCTGGTCTCGAACTCCTGACCTCAGGTGATCCACCTGCCTCAGCCTCCCAAAGTGCTGGGATTACAGGCATGAACACCATGCCCAGCCGAAAAGAATATTATTAAGGATTAAGGAAAGCTACCAGTTACTGAGTATCTGCTGGAAGCACCATTTCATTTAACTTGACAGCAGCCCTGGGGGTAGGCGCTATAATCCATATCTGACAGCGGAGGAAATCAGTCAGAAAGGTTAGGACACTGGCCCCATCCTGAGCTTAGTCAGCTGTGCCTTTCCTCAGATTAGAGGAAGATTTAATTTCTGGAAGAGATCAAATATGAAAAAGGGGCCTTAAAAATATGGAGAAGCAGAGAATTATTACAATAGGACAGGGACCAAAAACTCCACTGAAATATTGAGGGGAAAGTATTTGCAAAAGTTGTATCTGAAGGCTGCTGGAGATCGAACGAAATGTTTGGCAAGAAATGTTAAGAATTTGAACTCTCCCAGAAGTCGGGTTCTAACACAGGCCCTCAAGAGTGGATCCAGAGTTCAATAAAAATTATGTCCTGTGGCCAGGCATGGGTAATGGAGAGGGGACCCAGAGCCAGGATTCTGCATTTTCCATGCAGCGGTCACAGGCTCTTGGCAGACGGTGGCTCAGCTTGGTCAGGATGTGGGGAATGAGAATCCCAGCCTCGTTCCCCAAGAGCATCTTGAGAATCTGGTGGAAAATAGATGGAAATGTGCAATTGAAGTTTAAATTTCTAATTTAAATGTTAATCACATTTAAATTAAGTCGCATGTTTTTAAAGGTCTGAAGTAGAAAATACTTTTCTTTAAACGTAGGGCTTTTTTACCTCCAAAATTAGAAAAATTTTGCCCTATGAGGTATATTCCATTTGTTGTTTAGAAAGACGAAAGTTGAGATCCAGTGGTACATATTGTATCTGGCCTCTATGGTCACCACATAATTCATAAAATTATGCAATAGGAACATTTAAATATTAAACTAGCTGAAGGATTAGAGGACCAAGCCCTTCCTTAGACTGTAAATGATTCATGCGGCTCTAGGTCTTTTGGTAAGATCTAAGTTATAAAAGCTTTGCTACTGTGTCCGATGACTCAGGAGAGTTCTGAAAAGCAACTTCACCTGCCTTACTCCACCTTCCCCTGTTTTAATCTAATCTTTCTAACTGACCTTGCTTTGTGTTGGGCACTGTGCTAAGAATTTTACATGGACTGTGTCATTTAATTCTCATGAAACCAGATGAACTCAATGTTATTATTCCCATTTTGCAGGTAAGAAAAGTGCAGATGGAGGAGTCAGCATTGGAACCCACACGTTCATCTGCACCTCAGCCACCACCTGTGACTGCCTCACACTCCAATTCTCTGCTGGTTGCTGTGCCAGAGTGCCCTGAGGACCCAAAGCGTCTCTGCTGGAGCAGACACTCAGGCTGATCGGGTGATGGGTACCCAAGGCCCAGCATGGCAGCAGGAATGTGGCCACAATGGGACCTGCCACACCAGGCCTGGCCTTTGTGTCCAGGGTCCCTTGGGACTCTGCAGCACAAGAAAAGAACCTGCCCATGTGTGGAGATATCCACCCTCAATCAAGTCAAGGTGGCCTCATCCTCAGCAAAGTGAATGTTGGAAGAAGCAGAAACTTCTTACAGAGACATGGATTTGATAAAGCTGCTTGGCAAACATTATTGTTCCGATTGTGGAGCTTGGAGGGTGCTAGGGTTTGAATATTTGTCCCCTCTGAAACTCACATTGAAACTTAATCCACACTGTAGCTGTATTAAGAGGATAAGAAATCTGACTATGGTAATTGAGAGGTAATTAGGGGCAGCTGAGGCCATCAGGGTGAGGCCTTCATGGCTTCATAAGAGGAGGAAGGGAGACCTGAGCCAGCATGCCCAGCCCCCTCGCCATATGTGATGCGTTGGGCCACCTTGAGACTCTGCAGTGTCCCCATCAGCAAGAAGGCCCTCATCAGATGCATTCCCTCGATCTTGGACTTTCCAGCCTCCAGAACCCTAAGAAATAAATCCCTTTTCTTTGTACATTACATAGTCTCAGGTATTGTTATAGCAACAGAAAATGGACTAAGACAGAGGGTTCTCTTGGGTAAAGCAATGTATCAGGTATGGTTTCTTCCCCCACACTCTCTTCTCAGCTCCTTTTGTGAAAATAAGTCCTATCTGCTTAATTGTATGAAGAAACAAAATCAAGAAATCATATTAACTAATTCTGTGTCCTTAAACTATTATTATAGCACTTCCACATGGGGACTAAATTTCTTCACAGATAAAATGTTCAATTAGATAAGCTCTAAGATGCCTTTGAGCGGGAAAATCTAATGCACAATGACTCTGTTTTATTAGTATCTGCATGAATTCTTCTGGTTTTGAGTCCTTGACAGTGTTTTATAAATTAACATTCTGCAGCATTTAGCTCCATTTGTTAAAAAAAAAAAACAAACCCTAAAACTAAAACATTTCAGTGTAAAACCAATTAGTAAAATGTAGCACTGCTGTGACCTTTATGCTACAATGTAAAGTAACCTTGGACAGCAATGTGGCTGACTCTAAGGTGTCTCTCCCCTCCCCACCCAGGTCTCACTGGCTCCTGCCCTGGCCTTGCCACCACCTGGCAGGTGGCTAAGTCTCTATGGGCATGAAATGACGGAGCTTGACTACTAGACAACAGAGGTCCCTTCAGCTCCCCAAATAGGCAATTTTACACATTTCTATTTTCTTGTTTTCCAAGTTTGTTTAAATTCTGTTTTTGTTTTTGTTTTTGAGGTGGAGTCTCGCTCTGCCACCCAGGCTGGAGTACAGTGGTGCAATCTTGGCTCATTGCAACCTCTGCTTCCTGGGTTCAAGTGATTCTCTTGCCTCAGGCTCCCGAGTAGCTGGAATTACAGGCATGCAACACCATGCCCGGCTATGATTTTTTTTTTTTTTAATTTTTAGTAGAGACGGCGTTTCACCATGTTGGCCAGGCTGGTCTCGAACTCCTGATCTCAAGTGATCCACCTGCCTCGGCCTCCCCATAAATCCTGTTTTTTAACCCTGCTTTCCAAAATTGGGTGAATTTTGTGATTCAAGGAGGAGGACAAGTGTGCACTGCAGAGGCCGGCATTCTGAAGCAAGTGACACCCTGAGTAAGCTCTGCTGGGTAGAAACAAAGATGATTATGAAGCCATTGAGAAGATAAAGAAAGGCCTTGAGCGAGTGAGGAAGAAGGTGAAAAAAGATGGTTTCATTTGTAATGTAAATAATTCTTAAAAGGAGATGTAAACAAGTGAGTAGAAATGAGGATAATTTAAAAAGTGAATTGGCCAGTTAGGATCTGAAAGGAAATCCCACAATTCCCCAAATATAGTGTGTGGAGGGTCATCATATGAAATGAGAAATTTTAACTAGATGGGAAGGATTGAGTTCCCCCACCCAGCACTCTCCTATTTGCTAAGAATTGGAATAAGAGCCCACTGGAGAGGTCTCTGAGCTTCCTAGAATCTAGGAGCTGAATCAGGGCTCTGCGTCACCATGGTAAAATCCGTCATGTGGCCGGGCGCGGGGGCTCATGCCTGTAATCCCAGCACTTTGGGAGGCCGAGGTGGGTGGATCATTTGAGGTCAGGAGTTCGAGACCACCCTGGCCAACATGGTGAAACCCCGTCTGTATTAAAAATACAAAAATTAGCTGGGTGTGGTGGCAGGCACCTGTAATTCCAGCTACTCAAGAGGCCAAGGCACAAAAATCACTTGAACCCAGGAGGCGGAGGTTGCAGTGAGCCAAGATAGCACCATTGCACTGCAGCCTGGGTGACAGAGTGAGATTAGGTCTCAAAAAAAAAAAATCAGTCATGTGAGTTCAAATTTGTATAGCCTCAAAAACGGTCTTCGTGTGTTGGTGGTCTTCGGTCATTCTCCACCTGTCGTTTGTGAAACTCTGAGATAAGCTCCACGTGAGCAGTGCTTAGTCCTCAGTAAGTCCACGCCACTCCTGTCCCACCCAAGCCCCTCAGCGTTGACCTTACGCCATCTTTGGGTTTGCAGGGCCAGAAACGATGCCTAGTTCTCCTTAATTCTCCATGGAATAAAACAAATTATCTTGCAAAATTGAAAAACAAACTCGTGCTATCATCCAACACCCCTCAGAAACTTCTCAATGACTCTCTAGAAATTACGGGTCTTGAAATCAATAGTGCCATCTTAGCTCGGAATGGCTGACGCATTTGTAATGCTTTCTGGTTTTCGATATTCATTCACATTCTGTATTTCACTCACTCGATCTCTACCCTGTGACAGAGGTGGTACAGATTCCCAGAGGACAGGCGAGGAAAGCAGCTTGGAGAGAAATGGAATTGCCAGTGTCTAGAACCAGCTTCTGATGTCTGCCCACCGCCTTTTCCAGCTCCCCCACCCTCGTGACTCTTATGTTCTTTCATGTCCAGTTATTTAAGATCTTTTGAACCCTCAGTCAATTTATCCTCAAAATAAAAGATTTCAGAATAGAGTTGTCTCATGGGCATGTTATGCACAGAAAGCTAGCAATTCTCAGGCTCTTCAAAACCTTCTGACTACATGTATACATGGTGAGAAAGTTGTATTCCCAATTGGCATGCTTCTCCAAAGTAAATACGTTTCTGGGATCTTGTAGCAAAGAGTCCACATCGTCTGGGCACAGAGAGCTGTGTCTATGAGCAGGACCCAACGGCTTCATGGATTGATGCCAGTTCCCTTGAGAAGCCAACTGCGATGAGTCCAAGCAGAACCCATTTTTTAAAAAATTCAAAAAGAACGAGGACCCTCTGGAAAACTTCAGAGACATTTCATTTTTCTGAGTTGAAACTGAAGACGCAACCTCGTTACTATTATTGTTAAGATATAAGGCCATATATATCTGTGTTTCTTTCCTCAGGGAACCCTCAAGCAAAGAAATGCAAATATGTACCACCGTACTGTGTACTTTTCAAGGGTTTTTTCACATAATATCTCATCTGGTAATAAAAAGATATACATACTGCAGTGTCTCGTGACTGTCACTAATGCCTGTTATATGAGGTAAGAGGAACAGGTGTTCCCCTGTATATGCTCAGATTCACCTGGAGGGTTCTTTCCATGAGGCTGCCATTCATGCTTGTAATATTCACGATGGTGCTTGGCTTTCCGCCTCTAAAAGGTGAGTGATGGTCAGAAGACCCCTAGGGCATTCCTGCTCTGATGGTCCATAATCTGAGATCTGGGGGCCAAGGGAACCCCAGGGTCCAGCACTCCCCATCAGAGGTCCTTGTGGCTCAGTCTGGTTCTCTTGGGACAGTCCTGACCATCCCGATTTGCCTAACATGGAACAGAAGCAAAGTGACTCTCAGGTGTGCAGAAGGGGCGTTTGACACCCAGACATCATCTGTAGGGTCTCCCAACATTCTCATGGCACACTGTCCCTGCACCCGGACGTCTGATCCCCCCGAAGTATCTGTTCCTCCTGCCTCGTGTGTGGTTGGGATTTTAGGGCATACATCTGAGATTCCACAATCCCTCTGTCCCTTCAGTTCGAGGTCTGGTCTACGGTACACACTCAGGTCAGGGAGGGTGCACCTGGGAGTGGAGTGGCCTGGCAGCCTTTCCTGCTGGGCACAGGGCCGCTCGTCCTCTAGGGTGCCTGTGGGTTCTGTAGTGTCCAGCTCCAGCCTTGGGCCTGGCATCTCCCTGGGGTGAGCTGACCCCCTGGACACTTGTGGACCTAATTGTCCCACGGGCCCTCCCCTTCCGCAGGTCCCAAGCTCTGGTCATCAAGCTCCCTGCAATCTCTCCTCCTCACAAGCTGCCTCTTCTTTGCTAGTGGCATCCCCCATGGGGAACCCATTTATTTCATGCCCTCTGCCCCCTCATCCCTCACATCCAGGTGGTCAGCAGGAGGTGGTCATGGTCTCTCTGATCTCTCCTGTCTTGCTCCCCAGTGTCTGAAGGCCACTGCACTGTGCCGGCTCTTGTCCCCTCTTGCAGGAGCCGCTGTCACATCTTCCTGGACACCCCCCTTATGTGTCCCCCACACTGTTGCCAACAGGGCCTTCCAGTGCAAATGACATCTCAGGAGCCTCTTGCCTGAAGTCTCTGGGTGGTTCCTAATGCTGCTGGCGCCCCACTCTCCTGTCACTGGCTGCACCCCCAATGTGTCTGCAGAACCGAGTGCTCTGAGGTCTGGGTTTCCAAGCTGAGCTCCTTGGGTGCTGGGCAGGCCTCTGGCCCCCTCTCTCACCTCTTCTTCCTTCCCCTTGAACTATAGCAGTTAGACCTATGTCTGTTTTATATACTGAGTTTCCTCATTATTTTTCATTTTCTAAAATGGATCACTGCTTATAACAACCAAAACAAAACAAAACAAAACAAAACAAAAATGCAGTCAGCTAGTAAATGTGGCAAATGTTGACTGTAATTATTGTGAGCAGCTCTGAGTGAAGTTCCTAGGGTGCGATGCTGCCCCCTTATGAAACACCACATGATGGGCACTGCTGGCAGGATGTAGGACTCTACGGCAGAGGACTTGAACTTGGGTCCTGGCCTTTTGCCTAGTGATATGATGTGCACAG
This sequence comes from Homo sapiens, assembly GCF_000001405.40. Classification (NCBI taxonomy): domain Eukaryota; kingdom Metazoa; phylum Chordata; class Mammalia; order Primates; family Hominidae; genus Homo; species Homo sapiens. Next base: position 157,615,594 of record NC_000006.12, on the reverse strand, counting down.
TTTCTGGGCCTCAGCAAGTCGGATATGCTATAAAAGGTTATTTCCAACTCAAATACTACGATTCCATAGCTAAATAAAACTTTTCAAGAACTGAAGTCAATTGTGTCTACACATTTCACACAATGAGGAAGTGCTGGCCAGCCCAGCAGCAGGAACTCTACAAATAAAGTATTTACGAGAACAGGGGCGCTTACAGACCCAGCCTAGGCCCAGAACAGGTTGGTGGCTCTAATGGCACTCAGAAATGACGAAGTACGACATCAATACCCCTGCCAGCAGACTTGGGTCCGCACAGACGTCTGGAGCTCTAAATACAGTGTGCTGTTTTTGTTTCTTGTTGTTCACATAAAGCTGCAAGCACTTCACTGAGTCACTGCAGTCCAGTCAGCAGGTCCTTAATTACTTTTCTCAACAAAGGCACTCAAAAGAACAGGCAAAGTTCTACCAGTTAGGACCGGCTATGGAATGTCGGGGGCCCGTGGCAAAATGAAAATTTGGGGCAGCTGCTTAAAAATCATTAAGAATTGGCCGGGCACAGTGGCTCATGCCTGTAATTCCAGCACTTTGGGAGGCGGAGGTGGGTGGATCCCCTGAGGTCAGGAGTTTGAGACGAGCTTGGTCAACATAGTGAAATCCCACCTACTAAAATTACAAAAATTAGCCAGGTGTGGTGGCGGGCACCTGTAATCCCAGCTAGCTGGGAGGCTGAGGCATGAGAATCGCTTGAACCTGGGAAGCAGAGGTTACAGTGAGCCAAGATTGCACCATTGCACTCCAGCGTGGGTGACACAGTGAGACTCTGTCTCAAAAAAAAAACAAAAAAAAAACATGAAGAGTTTCAAGCTGGAGAGAGCAGAACACGAAGTCCATCTGGGGCCCCGTGTGAGGAAGCAGGTCACACACTGGTGACCCCGGCCCTGCTAACTGCCATAGTGTTACGGCCTGGGAATGTGATTTTCCCATTTGTGGCAGATCGATGTCTAGCGATTCCATGGGGTTTTCTGAGAGGATTTATAGAGAGTTTTTCTAAGAACATCACACAGTGAGGAAGTTGTGATTTCCTCGGAGTTAAGGCCTAGTCAACAGCCCCTTCTCTATGGAGAGCCTTGGGGCTTTTCTTCCCCTTGAACTACAGCAGTTAGACCTATGTCTGTTTTATATATTGAGTTTCCTCATTACTTTTCATTTTCTAAAATGGATCACTGCTTACATCAACCAAAAAAAAAAAAAAATCAGTCAGCTAGTAAATGTGGTAAAGTTGACTGTAAATCAGTCAGCTAGTAAATGTGGTAAAGTTGACTGTAATTTTTGTGAGCAGCTGTGAGTGAAGTTCCTGGAGGTGGGGCTGCTCCCTTATGAAACACCACACAGTGGGGCACTGTTGATGGGATGTAGGACTCTATGGCACAGGACTTGAACTTGGGTCCTGGCCTTTTGCACTCCCCGCCCCCCCATCCCCCCTACCAAGAGCTGCGGTGTCTTCACCCAGGTGCACCAGCCAGCGGTGGGGGGGCTTGCCAAGAGCTGCCATTTTCTAGCCTGGGCGAGGCTGACTGGGTGAAGGTGTGATGGGAACAAGTTTACCAAGGAAGAAGGATATAATATCAGGGAGACCACGAGAGGAAGAGTCAGCAAACACTAAAACTGTCAGCCCTTTCAATACTATTTTCCAAGAGTATCAGAAACTGTTTATAGCCTCCAGGGCAACCGTTCTTAGACTTTTTTTTTCATTCCTTACTGGTTTAAAACTCTGATGACAGCTATGGATCCCTTCACTCTCGTGCACTCACACATTTTAGGTACAATTTCCCGAAGCCTATTCCTAGGCCCCAGGTTAAGAATGGATGACCTATCAGGTTAGTTCACAGAAACTGAAATAACTTATTTCAGATGATGAGATGGATGGGCTGCCTACTGCTCCAACAAGGCTGCTTGAAATGATTTATTTCAACCAGAATTTAAAACTGAGCTGTTCTAAGAAGGCAGGCCAACAGGTGCCTATCGTGTGGCATGCTAAATGTGCCATCCCCAGGGTCCCGGAGGTATACAACCTAAAATCCCAGCCCCAGGCAGGCTGACACCCTGGGCTAACCCCGGCATAAGTCAATGGAATCCTTGGCCTACTCAGAAGGAGCTACTCTAATTACGCTTTATTCCAGGATTTCTTAAACTAAGGGTTGTGATCAAATAGTGAGTCATGAAATTGATTTAGCTGGTCATGACCAGCACTAAAAACAAACAATAAAATAGAAAGTATCAAGGCATCTTCTGTTGAGAAAGGCAAGCACTGTTTCATGCCTTTTATGTGCATCTCTGTGCACTGGATCCCAGTAGAAAATGTATTTCCTACTGTGAGTTGCTGTAAAACACAAAAAGTTTGAAAGCTACTGTTTTATTCGAATTTGTAGGAGGCACACGTGAGGCCCTCCGATATCTGTTGAGTAGATAAATACACGTGTAGGTTGCGTCAGTCACAGACCTAAAGACACCATGAGTCATTTTCAGTGATGGCATTTCCACCCTCCCAGAACTGTGCAAGGATTACTAGCTCTTGATCAGACTTAATTTTTTTTAAATGATCATTTCTCTTGGAGTCTGACATTTTAAAATTTGTGCTTCTGGTAGGTTTGAGGGTGAAGGATATGGGTTTCATTTAGTTTAGATTGGGTGCCCGAGGCTTTTTTTTTCCCCCCAGTTGAGAACACTAACCTCATCATAGGGCCAAAAAAGCAATATACTTTTTTTTTTTTTCTCTAAGAGAGAAGACTACGATGGAGACATGAAGGTAGATACAGCAAGAGGAGCATCAAATTCTCTTTTTCTTCTTCCCTCCCTTCTCTCCTTCAGTAAATACTAACTGAGCAGCTGCATGCCAGTCAAGGAGTTGGCTGCTGGGAATACAGTAAGGGAAACTGACACAGGCCTGGCCTCTTGAAGCTTACCCAACTGTGGGCAGAGACATCGGCCACTCGAGTCCACACATCCCCAGTGTATACCATGACAACCCTGGTCAGAGCTATGAAGGAAGCATACAGAAAGCTATGGGAAGTGTGTGCAGTGGCAGGCTTCCCTGAGGAGCCCACGCCTGAACATCTCCCTGAAAGATGAGCAGGAATTAACAGAGAGGAACCAGAGGAGACCTCGGGGCTGGAGCCCAGGTGGCATGCAGGACTACGGTGCAAGCCGAGAGAGGTGGGTCTTGTATACTAGGTTAAGGATTTTGGCCTCCTTCCCATAGTGATGAGATTCTGTTTGGAAACGGTCACTCTGATGTCAGCATAGAGGCTGGATTAGATGAGGAGCAGAGTGGATGGTGGGTGTCCTCCGAGAGACCTTTGCACAGTTAAAGTGAGAGATGATGGCGGCTTGCAGCTGGCCGAGGCAGTGCACAGAAGGAAAGGGATGAAGTGGTTTAAGCTGGGATCCACCTAGTAAGCAAACTGTACAGAGCCTGGTGATGGATTAGGTGAGCAGGGTGTGGCAGAGAAAGGAGTCGGTAGGACCCTCACGTCTGTGTAGCCTGTGAATGGGGCTGGCCCTCAGCAAGGTGGGGGGTCACTGGGGAAAGATGATTTGGGGTGCTTTTATCTCCCCAAGTGGACATGTCCAGCGGGAAGCTGCATATGCATGTCTGGAGCTCTGAGGAGAGGTCTGAGCTAGAGACATAAGCCTGGCAGAAAGAGAGACTCCGGAAGGCAAAAGGAGCAAGACACAGGTATAAACACACACTCGTCAGAGCCACAAAGCCAAGAACCACACACACACAAAAGGGACGGAGCCGGTCAAAAAGATGCACAAACAGGGAAAGTCAGATGAACAGAGACAGACTTTCATGAAGCAATCGCTTGTGGCTTTTCTGGGTATGGAAGAAATATATTTTTCAAGCTAAGTTGCAGTTTGACAATTCCAGGCAGAAATAAGGTGAGCACTTGGCCAGAGTCCACCCTCCCTTGCTGGATCGTCTCCAACCTGCAGGCACACATCTACCTTTGCCTTGGAAGAAGGTCTCTTTGCACTGGGCACTGACACTGCAGTTGAGTATCACTGACAAAGCCAGAACAGGATGAAAATGTGCCCGGGAGGCCCCAGAAATTCTGTTGTTGAAGCTTTCCTATTGGCCAGGGATGCTCTCTCCAAAAAACTGTATTAGACATGTAATCTCACTCTTTTGTCATAAACAGTTTCTAAATAAATGCACAGAATAAAAAAGACGTGATACCTTAAAAAATTTACGTTAGACGCATTATTTTACATCAGAATCCTCTATCAAAGCACTTTTTAAAAGTACACATATTGGCCAGGCGCGGGGGCTCATGACTGTAATCCCAGCACTTTGGGAGGCCGAGGTGGGCAGATCACCTGAGGTCAGGAGTTTGAGACCAACCTGGCCAATATGGTGAAACCCTGTCTCTACTAAAAATACAAAAATTAGCTGGGCATGGTGGCGCGTGCCTATAGCCCCAGCTACTCGGGGAGGCTGAGGCAGAAGGATGGCTTGAACCCGGGAGGTGGAGATTGCATCACAGCACTCCAGCAGACAGAGCAGGACCCTGTCTCAAAAAACAAAACAAAAACAAAAACAAACAAAAATGTGCATTTATTCATGGCTCCCAGTCTTACACGAGCATATTTGACAGAAGTCTCCAGAAAGTCCCACAGGGCCGACCAGGCAGTGATTCTGCTTCCTGTGGCAGTTCTATTTCTCATTCTACACTTATAAATTGGCACTCTGATTACGAATTGGCTGCCCAGGCAGCTTGATACCAGGCAGAGAAGCGGCTGGCTTTGCCTGGTGAGAGAATGCTGGCCCCTGTGACAACGTTGGTCCTGCAGTCATCTGTTGAAAATGAACAAATCTGCATTCTGGCTTTCTGCATTCAGGATGAGAGCTCGGACAACATGGGTCTGTCCACAAGCTCCAGTCCTCCAAGTCCAACATTGAGACCAAGGCCGCTCTGTGGGCCAACGCTGCCTCTCCTTCTTGGAATGTGTAGCCCCTCCCTCCATCCTGACCTCCAGGGGCTGTTGAGACTCTCAGGAGTGACCGACAGGAACCTGAAATGTGGAGCCTGTTGAGATAAAAGGAGGCTCTGCAGAACTTCATGGCAGAAGGGTAGTTAGTTTCTACTTCAGGTGTAGATTCTTTTTTATTTTTATTTTTTTGAGACGGAGTCTTGCTCTGTCACCCAGGCTGGAGTGCAGTGGCCTGATCTCGGCTCACTGCAAGCTCCGCCTCCCGGGTTCACGCTATTCTCCTGCCTCAGCCTCCCGAGTAGCTGGGACCACAGGCACCTGCCACCGCGCCTGACTAATTTTTTGTATTTTTAGTAGAGACGAGGTTTCACCGTGGTCTTGATCTCCCGACCTCATGATCCGCCTGCCTCGGCCTCCCAAAGTGCTGGGATTACAGGTGTGAGCCACTGCGCCCAGCCCAGGTGTAGATTCTTGACTCAGGTCGTGGGTGGGATCTGCCCAGTTCAGCTGTCTGTGAATATTTAAGGTGGTTGGGGGTCACTGCGTGGGCCTCTATGATGCCAACAAAGGACTCCCCTGGGATGGCCTGCAGCCCCCTCTGTGATGAACTTCAATGATTCACCCCACAAAGTCAGAGGCAAAATTTCCAAAAAGTATGTTGTGAGATTACTCCCCAGTTCTTTGTCCCCAAGGAGTTGTTGCTACTTTAAGGCAGGCCTGGGTGAGCAGACCCTGATCCAGGCTGGATCTGCCTCTGGGTCCCACTGCTTGTTCCCCTTGACACTTTGGGCTCTTCTTCCAACTCCACTGGCTTCAGCCCCTGCACAGAGCCCCTTCAAGCATTCCATTGCTGTCCACCGGCTCTCCTGAAGGGCTTGCTTACTCCTTGGGCCACCATCTGCAAGCTCAGTGCCCGGCCACCTCCTCTGGTCCCTATTCTGTGACCCCACAAGACAGGGAAAGACACTCACTGCTCAGAGCAGAATGGAAGATGGACTCCCCACTTGTGGCACATGATGGCACTTCTTATTTAAGACCCTCGAGCAACCTACCTCACTCAACACAAAACTCTTCCTGCTCTTTATGACGTTGCTTTGTAAATTGTAGATCACCGGGCAAAAGAGAGAGATGATGATGGGAAGACATTCTGGATAAAGGGAGCATCCTGAGTGCCCTGGCAATCATCCTCAGCTGTTCCTGGAGTGGCCATCACCCTACACAAAGCAGCTTCTCCTTCAGGGCCAGCCGTGGACTTCTCTGCCCAGTGCAAGCTGCCCTCGGCTCCTTCTAAGGCCTCTCCTGTCCAGTGCCATTGCTGCTACATCCATTTCCCACCTCTCGCTTTCCCTCCAGGTGCGCACCTTTTGACACAGGCAGTGCTCAGCTCTGGCTCTTTGGAGCTGATCCCACTGTTTCGAGGTCCTCATGTTTATTTTAGGCTGCCACAGATCAACTTCTGGACCAAGAACCCAAGGGGTCCAGGTAGTTACACTGAATTACATACTTTACAGACTCAGGTCACCAAGCCATGATCCACTTAAAATATGTGAACTCTACTTTTCCTTAAAAGCATTACTTGGTAGCATGGGGAAAAAACCATGCTCTCAGGAACCAGAGGGGTCAAGCACTCTCCTTTGCCCCAACTCCAGGAATTTAATGAAGTATCAAGTCCTGTCAGTTCTTTGGCTGAAATTTTTCTGGAATCATCCACATCTTTCTGTCTCCTTGGCCACTGCCCTGGCCTGGACTCTAGTGCCCTGTCCCGCCCTGTGGGGACAGCCCCCCCTCTCGTCTCCTTGGCTCTGTCGTGCCACCATCCAGTTTGTTCTCTGCTGGAGAGACAGAGGACACTTTTTGAAGCATGCATTTGATAAGGCCACTTTTGTCTCTTGTCCTCAGATAAGATCAAAACTCTTTTGCGTGGCTTATAAGGTGCCTGCCTACCCCCTGGCCTGTTGCAGCCCTCTCTGCCACACTGACTCACTCTGACCTGAGTCTCCACGTCAGCCACACCTCTGGTCCCTCGGGCAGGCCCATCTTCTCCTGCCCGGGCTCAGCACAGGCATCCTCCCACTTGCACAGCAGCATCTTCTTGCTAGCTCTCCTCTCTGTGCCTGGCTGACCAGAGCTCAGCCCAGATGGGACGCTGCTTCCTCCAGGTTGGGCATCTTTCCCGTATGCTCCCATGTGAGCTGGACTTTGCCGTTGTGTCACTCACCTCCCTGTACCACCGGTGCCTCCTAATCCACCTGTGCTTCTCGGTGGGTATCTCTAAGCTCTTTGCAGGCAGGGCCATGTTGACCACATTCACCACTGTCTCCCAGAGCTCCCGAGCACAGAGCCCATATAATCGGCCGTCAGTGGATATTTCTGAAGTAGGGTGAATGAATGACGTGCTTCTCGCTCTGGGTACAGCTCTGAGGACGCCCCCTGAGCACATACAGCATGACGGCAAATCCATGCACGCACAGCGTGACTTCCTGTCCTCCAGCGAAGTGTCAGCATGAGCAAAGGTGGAAAAAAATGCATGTTTTCAATTCGTTGGTGAAAAACAAACCCACAAATCAGTAGTGATAAGCAGTGGATTTTCAGGCACAAACCAGGTAGACACTGGTTACTTTTATCATATAATGGCACATCGCATTGTTAGGAATTTAACTTGTGAGAGCCAAGAAGACATTGTGCAATACGATCTTGTTTCTGTCAACTTTCAATAGAAATGGATGTGATACAAGCCCTCAGAAAGCCCATGCGGAGCTTGGAAAGAATCGCTGCTTCAAATTTAAGACGGCACTGTCAATATTCTATTCTCTCTTGTGAACAGGTTTTAATCTCTTTAACTACACTGAGGGTTCTTTTCTTCCCAATATTTCTCGGTAGCATAAAGGGACTGAAGAAAGTATGGACAACGAGAGGGAACAAAGGCTCTCCAACGTTTAAACAGCCATGAAGATGGTTTCTGTTTACCCAGACGAAAGGGCAGAGGGCACCTGCACAGACCTCACCCTGCCACTGCCCTTTCTCTTGCTTCTTTGCAATGAAAGGGTTAAACATCCTTTGCTCACAGAAAACCCCAGGCCAGGCAGGCCACACTGTAGGTGGTCCTTCCTCCCTACCCTCAGGAAACTGCATGCTGCACAACTGTGTTTGGGTTGAGAGAGGAAAAGAGGAAGAGAGAGAGGAAGCGGAAGGAGCCTACTGTAGTTGGTTTGTTTGTTTGTTTGTTTTAAAAAAAGAGCCTTTAAATGCGGCATTCTTGAAAGAAATGGTTTTGTATACTATTTGAAAAAAATCTACACAAACCCCTTCCTTGGTTGGGTGGAGAGATAATGTGACTTGTCATCTTAGGGAGTCTATTTTCTAACAATTTAAGAGCCTCAACAAGAGTGAACCAGGGACTCTGAGATTTCTTGTGTGTGTGATGAAGCCCTCAGCATTCCGCTGAGGCCCGTGAACCCCTTCCCAGCATGTTTCTAAATACATAAATATGTGAGATGACAAAAGAAAGCAATAATAAAGACGATGTTTCTAACATAATTTCGACATCGTGATATAGAAAAATACATACTTCGAATATGCTAACTAGTAAGATCTATGGTTTATCATCTTCCACAATTTTGAAGTAGTGGCAAGTGTAAATGTTATGCTGAGCTATCTGCAATAACCATGACACCATATAAAATAGCTGCAGTTTCTAGTGGTGACAAACACCACTAGTGTGATGTGTTTCCCATATTCATTAAAGGAAATATTCAATTTCATTTAGACGTTAGTGGAAATAAAAATGTAACTGTTTTCCTCTCCAAGTTCGTGGACCCCTGAATTCCATTCATGTCACCCAGGTCAGGAATCCCTGCTCTAAACAAACCCTAGAAGCAAAGTTCTTGACCGCGGGTGAGACTATGCCCTGGGAGGTGACGGGGTCCCAAGCTGCACTTCTGCACCAGGGCCATGAGCCTGCTCTGACTGCCCTCACAGCAACTGATCACCCACCCGGCTTCTTGGTGAACTCATTCTCTCGAGGCCATGGGGCGGACCACTGGACGTTTCCATCCAAGTTGCTGCATTCCATCATACTTCTGGCATCTTCTAATCCAAGCATGCAGCTCACCTCATTAAACTCTCTCCTCAGATTTTTCTTTTTTCTTTTTTTTGAGATGGAGTTTTGCTCTTGTCCCCCAGGTTGGAATGCAGTGGCGCGATCTCTGCTCACTGTAACCTCCACCTCCCAGGTTCAAGCAATTCTCCTGCCTCAGCCTCCAGAGTAGCTGGGATTACAGGCAGCCACCACCATGCCCAGCTAATTTTTGTATTTTTAGTAGACACAGGGTTTTACCATGTTGGCCATGGCTAGTCTCAAACTCCTGACCTCAGCTGATCCACCCACCTCGGCCTCCCAAAGTGCTTGGATTACAGGCATGAGCCACCGCTTCCAGACTCTCCTCAGATCTTAAGGGGCTCATGGGAACCGTGAAGGGGAAAATGCCCGGTCTGAGGCATAGAGACCTGTGTTATCCTGAAAACTAAAATGTGCAGGTAGTATAATTTCAGGAGAGTAATGCGATCTTCATATACACATATGACAGAAGTTTTAAACACGTAAAGTACTCAGCATATATATCTTGCTAACTTCATGATAATCCTGGGGGAAGAACTAGCAAGTTGAGCTTATTTATGACTTTGCCTGGGCTCAGCTGGGTTATAACAGATGGTTACCTTCTCTACTCCTCCTGGAGTCTTCAAAAGCCTTTATAGGCTGGTGACCACATGTGATTCATCCTCCTCTCCTCTCCTGCGTGCCCCCTACCCCCCACCCGCTGTGCCCACGCAGAGTCTCATTCACGGTTGACACCAATTGTTGGACATACTACAGCGTTCCTGCTGGGCTGGGGTAGAAGTCATGGCCTTCCTCACATGTTAAAATCTGACTTGTCACCTGCTGCTTGCCCGCTTTCAGGCCCACTGAGTGTCTGTCTGCTCTAAGTCCATGAACCGTTATGAACCTTCACACAGGGCCTGGGAGGCTGCCTTCCAGTTCTTACCTTGCTGTCTGATCGGAGTCAAGTCTCTGCCCTCTCTGAACCTGAGTTCCACAGCAAATGGGGGTGACACTTTCCAGCCCATTGCTTGGTAACACAGGGAAGACTTCCTCCAAATGTAAGAATCCATACATAAATAAAGGATGGTATTATGAAAATGGAAGAGCTCTCTTAGTACAAATAGTTTCTAAGTATTCATTTCACTTATTTAATTAAAAAAAGATAATCATTACATTTCCAAAGGCACATTACTGGATTTTAAAATACACTTTCTTCTTGCTTCTCCCAAAATATAATCTTTCCATTTCAATTAGTCTTTTATTTAAAATACTTTTCAACCTTTTTTAAAACAAAATAAAACTTAACCTGTTCCAGCAAACCAAATTATTTCATAGCTCTTTTTTAAAAAATGTGCAAACACATATTAAGCTTTCAAAACTAAGGCACATGGGTTATTATTCACTATCAAAGTTTCTAGGCTTTAACAGCTCAGTTCTGCCCAACTCCTACAAATAGTGGGTGGAATTTGGTGAAACGTTTATTGCCAACACTCAACAGAGAGCAGCTGGATCAGCTGACACAGCCACAAATATCTTGGAAGAAGAAACTTCAGGGCTGGTAAGGTATGTTTCATCTTCTGCTTCCCTAACTCCAATATCCATTGCTGGAAGCCAATTTCAATTCTGGGCAACTCATGTCAACAACAGATTACTGCGCACCTAGCAAGGCACTGTGTAGGGCTGGGCATGGTGGCTCACACCTGTAATCCCAGCATTTTGGGAGGCCGAGGCAGGTGGATCACCTGAGGTCAGGAGTTCGAGACCAGCCTGACCAATATGGTGAAACACCGTCTCTACTAAAATTACAAAAATTAGCCGGGTGTGGTGACACGTGCCTGTAGTCCCAGCTACTTTGGAGGCTGAGGCAGGAGAATTGCTTGAACCCGGGAGGCGGAGGTTGCAGCCGAGATCGTGCCACTGCACTCCAGCCTGGGCAACAGAGCAAGAATCCGTCTCAAAAAAAAAAAAAGAGTAACAAATACACAACTGCTTCTTAGAAAATAACTGGTCTTGGGTCTTCAAGTCTCCCCTCATGTGAGAGGCTGTATTGTTCTAGTAAACACAGTCATCCCTCCGTATCCAAGGGGGATTGCTTCCAGGACCTCCCTCAGATATCGAAACCCACAGATGCTCAAATCCCTGCTAAGAAATGGAGTAGTGTTTGCATATAGCCTATGCATAGCCTCCAGTATCCTTCAGGTCAACTCTAGATTACTTTTTTTTTTTTTTTTTTTTAAGACAGGCTTTCACTCCATCACCCAGGCTGGAGCGCAGAGGCGTGATCAAGGTTCACTGTAGCCTCAATCTCCCTGGTTCAGGTGATCCACCTGCCTCAGCCTCCTGGGTAGTTGGGCTTACAGGCACCCGCCACCACGCCTAGCTAATTTTTGTATTTTTTGTAGAGATGGAGTTTTGCCATGTTGCCCAGGCTGGTCTTGAACTCCTGGGCTCAAGCCATCTGCATGCCTCAGCCTCCCCTGTACCCATTCAGTACAGACATAATTTTTTCTCTTAGTATATTTGATTCGAGGTTGGTTGAATCCATGGATGTGGAACCCATGAATACAGAGAGCCAAATGTATTCACTTCTCTCCCTCTTGAGGTGGCGTGCCCTTCCCTGTCCCACTGACATGTTGTGTGCCTTCCTTGGACAATGGAGTCTTCGCCACAGGCAGAGGTTGTAAGGGATACTGCATGTCTCAGCTCTAGGCCATGGCGGCCAGTAAGTACCACAGGTAGCTGCCCTCCCTTCAGCCTGGGTCCTGGAAAAACATTTGAGGAGACCTGAACCTGAACCAACGCCCGGGGCCGAGCCTTGCCTAATCCGCAGAGCTGCCCCAGATGTCCCACAGACACACGAGAAAAAGAAATGCTGCTTGTTAAGGGCCACAGAGGTTTTTGAGGGTGCTTGTAATACGGCATCATCAGACAACAGCTGCCTACTACCTGTCATCAGCTCACTTTATACTCGGATGCCAGATCAGTCCTCCTAGGGCTGAATTCCAGCCCTCTCAATCTCCTGTTCAAGCATCGTGCTCCAGCAGCTGAGTCAAGTCCCTCTTTCCTAGATGGGCATCCAAGGGCCTCTCAGTGTGGCTGCCAGCTAATTTCTTCAGCCTTTTCTCTCATTTCTCCCCTTTACGGGAATTGGTCTAAAATGACCATCCTGAGTGCTACGACCTTGTCAAGTACTTCTTTATGATGTTAGTTATCTTTTCATAACTACGTGGAAAACTCGTTAAGGGCAGGGAACGAACCTGTGTGAAATTTCTTTGCCCTCTACGTGCACATAGCAGCCACTCCATAAGTGCTTCTGGATTCATTGTAAACACTTGCTTCACAAAGCGTTCCACAGAGATGGCTGGATTCCTCACCTGACTCTCCATGTCCAGCCCTGGGCCCTGGCACTGCCATGAAGCACTGTGGACGTCCCAGCCTGCAGTAAGCCACGGCAACATCCACTTCAGACACCCAGGGGGACGATGGCCCCACGGTCTGGGGTGTGCAGGTACTTTCCAGAGAGCTCAGTGACTAGCAAAGGGTGCAGACATGACTGGTGGCTTGGACCCGAAAGCATGGATTAGATTGTTTGATTGATTTTTAAGTTTAGTTACAGGACCTGTTGCTTAAACCACAAAGAAACGACTAAACTCCAGACACTAAGACAAAACTGACAGGCTAGCACGAAGGGGCTGGTGCCCTCAGCAGCAGCAGAACCCAGCCTGGGTACGTAGCACTCCAGAAAGCTCAGAGGAAGCATCCTCATGGCGGGTGAAGAGTAAGCAGCTCCCTGCATGCTCAGGAGCCCGGCCTTCCTGACACTTTCACACACCCCGCCAGGCTGGATGCCCTGCCTGCCCTGAACATCCCTGAGCTTCTGTCCTACCGTTCAGTACCCCAGGTAGTCTATACACTGTAACTCCTATTTAGCCTTGGCAACTCAGCATAGGGACAAACTGGGGAATCTGCGCTCTCCCAGAACCTGCACACAGCTCCCGGTGGCACTGAATGCGTTTTTTTTTTTTTTTTTTTGAAACGGAGTCTTGCTCTGTTGCCCAGGCTGGAGTGCAGTGGTGCCATCTCGGCTCACTGCAACCTCTGCCTCCCAGGTTCAAGCGATTCTCCTGCCTCAGCCTTCCTAGTAGCTGGGATTACAGGTGCTAATTTTTGGATTTTTAGTAGAGACGGGGTTTCACCATGTTGGCCAGGCTGGTTTCGAACACCTGACCTCAAGTGACTGGCCCACCTTGACCTCCCAAAGTGCTGGGATTACAGGCGTAAGCCACCATGACCAGCCTGAATGCATTTTTTTTTTTTTTTGAGACAGAATCTCGCTCTGTCCCCAGGCTGGAGTGCAGTGGCACAATCTTGGCTCACTGCAACCTCGAGCCTCCCGGGTTCAAGCAATTCTCCTGCCTAAGCCTCCCTAGTAGCTGGGATTACAGGGGTGTGCTACCATGCCCAGCCAATTTTTGTATTTTTAGTAGAGACGCGGTTTCACCATATTGGCCAGGATGGTCTTGATCTCTTGACCTTGTGATCTGCCCGCCTCGGCCTCCCAAAGTGCTGGGATTACAGGCGTGAGCCACCGCGCCCAGCCCTGAATGCATTCTTTATCTCTGCCTTCCCCAGCCAGAATGAAGACGCTGCCTACCAAGAATGGTGCATTTTAATGGTCACTTTGGAGATGTGGAAAATACAAAAATGGGCAATGAAGAAATCACTTACACACATGCACATACACACAGAAAGCATGTGCATGGGCCCTGAAGTCACTTTCTGTAACTCATCTTTGGACTTCACAGGACCTCATAATATCAAATAGTGCATGTTTCCTTGCATCGTTCTAGGTTTGAAATGTTATTGTTTGTTGTTTGTATATTCTTCTAATTACATTTCACAGCTATTTTATCTTGCCCCCCGACTCATAATTCATTAAATTTAAATAAATTTGTGGAGAGTACATGTCTTGATTTTTATTACAATTCCTAACTGATACATAGTATGCTATTTTAATGTATTTATTAGGTAACTGATAAACCTACTAAACATAAAAAAACTAGTTCTAATGTTTGTTGGTACTGTTATTATTGCTCTTGTCAGCTACAAAATATGGTGATTTTGTTTCTTCTTTTTTGATAGTTATATATTTGTGTTTATTTTCCTACATTACCACATTAATTAGAAAAGATATTGTAAAATATTAGTAATGATACTAGACATCCTAATTTGTTCCTAATTTTAATGTAAATCATGGCAGTGTTTTGCTATAAAGAAAATGTTAGCTTTTTTCCTTTTTAACATAATGTTAAAGAAATATTCTTCTGTATTAGTTTTTAATCGTATAGCAATAGTTTTATATAGCAAATTACCAGAAATGACGGACTTTCAAACAACATGAACTCATTATCTCGCGATTTTTGTGGGTCAGGAGCCCCGTGCGCTGCGGCCAGGGCAGCCTCTCCATCTGCAGTCAGGGCCTCTCCCGAGCTCCATGCTGGAGGCGGGATTCACCGCCTTCCATCCTGCTCCGAAACGGCACCCAGGCCTCCTGCGCGGCATCTCTCCAGCTCTGCTCTTGAGGGCTCTTGGAATTACACTGGGCCCCTTGGATAATCCAGGATAAACTCTCTCAAGTCAGCTGATTAGTCACCTTTTATGACATCTACAAAGTCCCTTTTGCCAAGCAACGTGACATAACCATTGGAGCAACCCGGGGGGTGTGAGGGGAAGGGGCAGTCATGGGGGCCAGAATTCTGCCTACCACACCTTCCAATCTGGATACACTGAGTTCTATAGCTACAAATGAATGTCTTGGCCAGGTGCGGTGGCTCACGCCTGTAATCCCAACACTTTGGGATGTCAAGGTGGGCCAATCACTTGAGGTCAGTAGTTCAAGACCAGCCTGGCCAACATAATGAAACCCCATCTTTACTAAAAACACAAAAATTAGCCAGGCGTGGTGGTGCACACCTGTAATCCCAGCTACTCGGGAGGCTGAGGCAGGAGAATCACTTGAATCTGGGAGGCGGAGGTTGCAGTGAGCTGCACTCCAGCCTGGGTGACAGAGCAAGACTGTCACAAAAAATACAAAACAAATGTCGCATTTTATCAAATCCCTTTTTATTATCTATTATCATGATCACATATACCTTTTATCTTTTGACCTATTGATATACTAATAGTTTTATTAACATTAAAAAATCACATTCCTGGAATACATCCTTCCATGTCATGACTAATTCTTTATTATACTGGTAGATTAAGTTTGCTATGTCTTCACGTTGGCTTGTTGTAATGTTTATAAATAAGGGTGGGGGTTTTATTCTGCATGTTATTTTTGTAAGGTTTTGGTGTTAGGGTTATACTATTTTGGTGAAATGAACTGAAAAACCATTCAACCTTTCCGAAGCTCTCAGACACTACTCAGAACATAGGAAGTAAGCTGTCTGGGCCCAGCACCTTTCTCACATGGTTCTTCATAAAACTTTTCAGTTTTTCATGGCTAGTAATCAATTCCAGTTTTCTACTCACTCCTTGGCCCATTTTCCTATACAATCATGTTTCACTGAGATTTTTCAAATCAATTGGCATAGAGTTAACACAACGGCAAAATAATATATTTCTCAATAATTATAGAAAACCATCTCACCTATATTTGTTTCATTTGAATCTGTTACTTGCACTTTGTTAATTTCTTTGTCTTACCAGACGTTAATGCCTTGGTTGGTTGTTCTCCAAAGAATTAGATTTGGCAACCTATTGGTTGCTGTTTTCTAAGTCATTGTTTTCTTATGGTTTCCCTTAAGTTTATTTGCTGCTCTTTTTCTGCCTTCTGGAGATGGATGCTTTGTTCATTTATTTGCTTCTAAGTTCAGTTTATTTTTTGTACTAGACTTTTTAAAGTATTTTATTTCATTGGCCATCCACCATTAAAGTAAACTTCCTGTTTGGGGAGAACCCCAAAATAGGTGGGAGGCAGGGCCCCATCCTCCCATCCTCATTATAGATGCTGAGTGTGGGGCAGTCGCCACCTTCGCCTGGCTGTCTGCTTGGGCGTGGAAACAAAACAGGCCAAGGGCTCCCACCCAGGTGTCTGAATCCGGAGTTGTGGTCTTTGAAGACAGTCAGAGTTTCGTCGAGAGCTGCAGCAGAGGGAACTCAGTGGTGGTGCCGCAAACGTCCTACCTGTGGTACTTGCCTCCTGCAACATCCTGCTGCAGATGCAACTGGCCGTGCGGGGCTGCCCAGCCTCCTCCACTGTTCCTGGTTTCTGAGCCTCATTCTCCAGCCTCCTTGTTGATTCTACCGGCAACCCGACAGTCTTCTGGTTCATTCCTCTTCTGCTTAGATTAACTATTTCTCATGTTTAAAATGTAGAATTCTGAATGGCATGGTTTTCTTTTGCATTGTTCTTACTGCCATTTTCTAAATATTTTACAACTGCAGTTTTGAAGTTTCTGTCACCCAAGATTTATGAAAAGCCTCTTTAAAAAGCTTCTTTACAAAGATTTATAAAAGTTTTTTAAAGTTTTTTTTAAAAGCATTACAATTAGGTATGTTTGTACATTTCTATCTTTGTGATTCATTTCTAGTTTTATTGTTTCATCAGATGACATTTTCAGTGTGATATCTGCCTTTAGAACGCTGGAAAGTGTTTTGGGCTTAATATGATTAATTTTTGTAAATGTTCCATGAATGGTTGAACATGGTAAGTACACTTTGTAAAAACGAAGTTCAACATACATTTATTATACTTATACACTGGCATACTCTACTTACAGTTTGTTGACCTGAGCCATGAAAAACAGATGTATGCTATTATTTCTCACTAGCATTATGTAACAAATTACCTTTGCATTTTCTAACAACCTTTACTTTATATATTTTGATGCAATGTTATTTGGTGCATAAATGTTGGTAATTTAATTCTACTCTTAACCAATATAAAATTACTCTTTAACCTGTGTAATATGATAAATACAATACTGTCTGCCTTGAGTTCTCCTTGGTCTGCTCTTAATAATGATCCCTGGGGACTGGCTCATATTTTCACATACTTAGTTATTGTCACAGCACTTAACACATAGATGCTTATTCAATGTTGGTGAAATGAAGAGATAGCGGAAACCAGGAGAATCAGTAAAGTCCTGTTTGTTTTGGTTCCAACAAGGATACGAATCTCAGCTCCCTCCACTCCCCTCCAATGACCTGCTTTCCTATGAGAAACTAATAGCCCCCTCATCATACCCAAATAGTTACAAAGGCATTCCCAAGTGCTAATCCACACCAGAAGGCAGCTGCAGGGCCGAATCTCTGCCATGTCCAAACTCTTAATGTACAACTGTGAAGCAGTGGCTGGGTTCCTGAGGGCAGCGCACAGCAGAGTGTATGCAACACACAAGGTATCTGCAGTCTGAGTTCAGACTCACACACAGAGGAAGCAGTGAGAGCAACAAGGGGCAGACACTGTGGGACAGAAGGCAGAGTGTGCAGTAAGATGCAGTCAAGTGCCCGGGAGAGGAAGAGCACAGCCAAAAAGAGGCGAGGGAATGAGAAAGAGAGCCTGTAAGGATTTAAAAGAGGCAGGGGAAAGCCCTGCCAGAAATAAAAGCGACTGGACACTGAGTCCCTGCAGAGGGCGCCTGGAGGTTCTTTGTGGCACCCACACCAAAAATGACAGGACAGAAAACAAGGGACCAGGCCATGTCCTGGATGTGGGAGGAGGCTGGTCTGCTCGGTGCCCCCCAGGGGCTGGCATGGCCTGAGGGCTCCATGTACTACTTCCTTCGTCTTCACAGCCCTTCCAGATGTGGCATCTCAGGTGCAGAGACAGTCCCAGTGCCCACACAGGACAGCAGGGCTGGGACCCAGGCTGCAGCTGCCTCCAGAGGCCACCTCTGAACCTCTAGACTAAGCTGCCTGGGTCTGGCCAGAGTTAGGCAGACTCTTGTATAACCGGTTTGCAAAAATGCTGGCAGTGTTTCATCTTACTGTCTAGCAAACTTTCTTATTAGTTTGTCCACAGTATGTGATTAAAATCTAGTACATGTAAATCCCTTTTTATTACAGGTTTAGGCTGTACTAAAAATACGCATTCCAGCGAAAGCTGCTGGCAATTCCGACGCTGGACTAGGGCCCACCAAACGACAGACATCCCTCATAGGGCCTACCCCATCAGAAAAACGAGGGCAGCATGCACCTGGGGCTTTAAAACATACATAGTGAGCCCGAGAGGGTCTCACAGGCCCATGCTTTGCCTCTTCAGCTCCTTCAGTTTCTCTCGCTTTAATGATTTGAGGGATATGAGGATCCGAGAGAGAAGAGGTGGCTCCCTGGCCCCAGCTGTTGGTTGTTTAAAAATATTCCGTAACCTCAAAGCCCGCCTGGATAAATAAACAACCCGAAATGCTGCGTTCCACGTGTGCAGAAGGAACGCGATGGCAAGACTCACAGAGAACCAGAGAGACAGTCAAGGATTCAGAGAAAGAGACAGACGGAAACAGGCAGCAGGGACAAAGTCAGAGAGAGACAGAAAATACATTCACGTCGATCACGGCAGATCATCTAAATCCTTCCAGATTACAGAGAAACAAGGCGATTCCTACTACTTTGTGAAGACGCTTCTTGTTGTAATCAGTTACTTGGGAGCACCGATGGTGGCATTCCCATCACTGATGAGACCATCAATGGCCAGAGCCACGCGCTTACTGGCCCCTCAGTGTGCCGCAGGTCTGTCTGTGCTGGGTGCTGTGGTGGGCACTATCTCAGTTAATCTTCAAAAGAAACCGAGGGGGTAGCACTAGGATCACATCCATTTTACAGATGTGGTAACAGCTGGGAGCGTTCAGACAACTTGCCAGGTTCCAGTATTACTCAATGAGAGGACCAGGATTCAGCCCTGGCCTGTGTGTTCTCAGAGCCAGGTCCCCAACCACTGGGGCCTGCCAACTAACTCTATATTTGACCAGAGAAAGCTCTTTCTCAGTCCTCAACTAAAAAGGCCCCTATGACTTTCAAACTTATTTAACAAAGAAAACTGCTCTTCTGAACGGCCTGGGAAGCTGCATTTTTCCTCTCTCCTCTCCCATGCAAAGTGACATTTATTTACTGTGCTTGGGAAGGACCAGCTCAAACCTGCTCGTTACAAGGTAAGGGAAGCCACAAGTTCCCACCTCAGCTTTCAGCATACCACTGTGCTACTTCTCTTGCTGCAAAAAGAATTCTTTCAGTGAAAACTTTCCATCTAAAAATAAGATCATGGCCAACTCTGCAATTACACTTCTCAGTGGGAGACATTTGCCTTCCACTCTATTTTCCTGAATGCAGAATGTCCAAACTACTGTCCTGCTCATCAGTCAACCAAAGGCCCCAGTGTCCCATAATTAACCGGAAAACCGAAGCTATGCAGTTTTCAATCACTGGGTGGTGTTTTGAGGAGCCCTGTGGGCAGCTTTATTTTAGATCACTCATATGCTACTTCTTCACCTGTCCCCCACGGAGCTGGCCCTGAGCACCACTCAGAGGCCGCGGCTTGCGGTGTGCTCCTGGGTTCCAGTCTTCCTCCTCTAGATCCTGCCCCAAACTTCCCCACTTCCTCTCCTTTCCCTTTCTCTTTCCTGTTCTGGGTCTCCCATACATAGACCACCACCATGTTCGGTTGTGGATACTGGGTGGCCACCGTGACTTTGATTTACCAGAAAGGTGGAGGCCTGGCTCCTGGCCTATTATAGCCTGGTGGCTCCTAGGTTCACGGCTGGTAGAGTGCACAGGAGAGGATCATACTGGAAACACTCACACATGCAGAAGTACACCGTCACTGGGGAAAGGCACAGCTGTGATAAGGGGCTTTTACATCTCATTCATCAGGGTTCTTTAAGGGACACATACACCTGTGGGCAATGGGAGGGAACAAATGTGATTATATGAACTTTCAGAGCAGTGTCTGATAATAATCCAAAAGGAATTTTAAAATAGTAAGTCACAGTAGATTGAGAAGAAAATTTTGACTGTGATTAAAAATCTAGCCTAGGCCGGGAGCAGTGGCTCACATCTGTAATCCCAGCACTTCAGGAGGCCGAGGCAGGTGGATCACTTGAGGCCAGTTCAAGACCAGCCTGGCCAACATGGTGAAACCTCGTCTCTAAGAAAAATACAAAAAAATTAGCTGGGCAGGGTGACATACGCCTGTAGTCCAGCTACTCGGGAGGCTGGGGCAGGAGAATTGTTTGAATCCGGGAGGTGGAGGTTGCAATGAGCTGAGATCATGCCACTGCACTCCAGCCTGGACGACAGAGCAAGACTCCATCACAAAAAAAAAAAAAAAAAAAAAAAAAAAAAAAAAAAATCTAGCCTAGAGACAAGAAACAGAGGATAAATGAGTGGACAAATTGGGTGTGTTTAGAAATGAATAAAAAGTTTTATAAATGATAAAGAGAAGGAAGTGCCCAGTAAGACCTTTAGTTTTACAGATAACAACACCCTACCTACCAAAATATAGTCTAGAATAAGGCATTAGACCTCCAGGAGAAGGCATGCAGAATGACAGAAGAGTTTATGTGCACAAGTGTAAGACACACACTGTCCCATCACAGGCCTGGAGGTCAAAATTACAACCCAAGAAAGGGTGTTGAGAACTCCTACAGGTAGACGGTTCCCCCAGAGATATTTAAGATGCTGTGCTCCTTCAGCTTAAATTGTCCCCAAGATAGGTGTGGAATGGACACTGGGGCTGGTGTCACCAGGAAGGGTACTGGTAATCAAACAAAGGCTGATTTGTAGAGTCCCTTGTAGAAACCTTGTAGAAACCCTGGTGTGCCCCCACATGGAGAACTAGGTGTAGTTTTGGCCACTGCATCTACGGAAGGTCAAGACATTGTCCAGAGAAAGCCAATCAAAACTATCAAGAGAGGAGGAGTAACAAGAGCACTAGCAGCTAACAATCACAGAGCGTCTGCTACATGCCAGGCACTTTCCACCTGTTCATTCATTTATTCTCTCCACTATCCCATGCGGCAGGCAGTTATCAACCCCACCGCAGAGATGACGAAACTGAGGCACACAGCGTTTCAGTACCTTGCCTGTCACGCAGCTGGTATTTGAACCCAGGCCATGCAGTGCCAGATCCCATGCTCTTAACCATCAGCTACTTCCTACATGGGAGAAGCAGAACCCATTCCATACTGTTCTGTTGGGGAGGCAAGGCTGAAAGTAATTTATCTATGTTAAGAAAACCAAGACGAGGCCTGATAGAGAAAACATGAGCTTTGTGGCAAACTGTAGATTATTAAAGTTAGGGTAAAGTTAATTTAAGACAAACGGAAGACTGCTTTGCACAGCAGGACGTACATTATAAAATGTTATTTTTCTCAAGAAGAATTGAGACTACAAATTCTAAGACTCACGAAGAGTGCTGGCAATCAATGCTGTGTTACTAAGGGAAGCTAGGTTTGTTCTGAGGTGCACTCCTATCCTTTCAGTTACGAGGTAACAGGGTTTCCATTGCTTATTCTCCCAGGAATACCCCTGGTCACTTCCGCTAGAGGCAGGCCATGAGTCTTCCCCACTGGGGCAAAGCTTTTGTCCTCTCCTTGCTTCCCTTCCTGTCACTTGGGTGTTCTGCCATCTCCTTGCCAACCTCATCTCTAGGCAGCTCCAGCCACAGAGAGAAGAGGGTCTGTGGGTGTGGGGAGCAGCTCTCAGTCTGCAGTGACAACAGGCGCTTGCCAAATAATCCCAGGGGCTGGGCCCGGGTCACTTGCAGAAGGCCCATGCTGGGCCGGTGGTAGGGCCCAGCCTTACAGCTGCAGACCTCTGAGCTCTCAGTTCCCTCTGCCTGTTTCCCTAGCCTGTCCTGGCGGAAGTTGGGAGGCAGAGAGGGGAGGCCTTCGTCGTCTCCGGGAAGAATACAGATCCTAACTCCAGCCCCTGGAGGAGAGGTCTCCCGGATCCTGCCTCTTTTCCTGTCCCCAGAAGGAGTGGGGATTAAACGCCCCCAGCCCCTCTGAGGAGCTGGGACAAACAACTGCACAAGGGTGCCTCCCGTAGGTGTGTGGCCAGACCTGTGGCAATCGAGAGGCCTGGGGGAGACATGATTTTATTTCACGTGCCTGCTGACCTGGCAGCCTGGGGAGACAGAGGACCCCATTCTCGTGCCTGTGCTGGGGGAGGCCCTCGCAGCCAAGGGCGGTGCAGGGTGTAAAGAGAATAAAAAAGATATTTGGTGACTCTAGGCCCGGTGAACTCAATCAGTGGCAACATGCAAATGCGCTGAAATATTAACCATTACTGAGTGTTCCGTGGCGCAGGGTTGGAGAGGCGCAAACCCACCCGGAGGACCCGGGCTCCCGCCAGGCTCCGCCCAGGCACTACTCACCTACGCAGTTATCACAAAGGCTGCAATGGGAGGCGCGAGGGGGCCGGAAAATCTTGCAGGTGAAACAGTATTTAAGTTTCACGGTCTGGCCATTGATGATGACTTCTTTGGTTCTGGGAGGCGGGCGGTACCCCCCTGAACTGGTGCCGTTTGCGATATCTGTGGAGAAAAGAAGAGAAAGAGCGCACACCTTCAGAGCCTCCCTCTGCCTCGGCGGGACCCGTCCGCCTGGAGTGTAAGCTCCAGGGCAGCAGGCACAGCGGCTGGCAGGGCCCCCGGTGCCCACGGTTTACCCAGGCTGGGGCTCTGGGACTCACCCTCCGCTGGGACCCCGGCCTCCTTCGTTGCACACGTGCAGGGGCCACGTGACTGAGCTCTGGCCAATGGAGCACAGCACACATGGCCCCACCCAGCCAGGCCCTCCCTGTGGAGCCCCGCCCTTTTCCTCCTTCCCCCTCCCCTCCCTGTAGGCGGCAGGAGAGGCCCCAGGCCATCTTGGGAGACACAGCTGGGGAGTCGCCTGACTGCACAGAGGAGGGCCACCCTGACCTCTTCCCGCCTGCACAGGTCTGTGAGCACCAGACTCCTGCCTTAAACCTGGAAAGGCTAGGGTGTTACTTGTTACTGCTAGCCTTGCCCTCATTAACACACCACCCTAATTCGCTCTCCTGGAATGCTGGACTCCAAATCCAGCTCCAGGGTCCCTTCACTTTGCCCATTGGCTACCTCAAAAATGCCAAGTATAGAATGGGAGGGGGAGAAACCAGATTGTAAAAAATACATTTTAAAAAATCATTAAATGTATATTTTGAAAATCATTTCTACATTTTATCATCTCAATAGCACCTTTAATTTTTAGAACCAGTTCTAAAAATGTCAATGACAATACAAACGTGGAGTTTTTAAATTTCCATTTTATCTTATCATTTCTGATTTCACATTAGGATCACATGGGAGCTTTTAAAACTCCCCCAAGGTGTGAACCCTGTTCCAGATTTATTAAATCAGAATGACCCGGGTTGTTCTCACGTGGGCAAGGTTTGAGAACCCCTGCTCTCTGGGAAGATAAAACTTCCAGTTTTATTTCACCTAGACTCCTCAGAGCCCTATTAGCCTTGCCAAGAAGAAGTTAGGGCAGCTGGCTGTGCAGTCAAGAACAGGAGGGCAGGGTGGATGGAGAAGATCAAGAACTTCCATGAGAGCTTCAGCTGAGACTCTGTGGCTGACAGATGCAAGCCAGACCTAAGGGACTGGATCAGTCCTGAGGAGCATCAGAGTTGGTAACATTAAAGATAACTGTTCATTTTAATTCTCACCCTCTTAAAGCACATACTATCAGAGATGGTTGCAAGATACTTTTGGTTGATTTCCAAAGTGGTAGGAATCAGTCCCATCACCCACTCAGTCCCCTCACACCACACCAACTCATCCTGGGCAATAATCATTGAGCAGAACTGCTGAGATCCTGGTCCTGCTGTCAGAGAGTCTTTCATTGGTGTGGGACATTGTATTAGTCTGTTCTCATGCTGCCAATAAAGACATACCTGAGACTGGATAATTGATAAAGGAAAGAGGTTTAGTTGACTCACAGTTCTGTAGGGCTGGGGAGGTCTCAGGAAATGTATAATCATGACAGAAAGGGAAGCAAACATGTCCTTCACATGGCAGCAGGGAGGAGAGGTGCCAAGCAAAGGGGGAAAAAGCCTCTTATAAAAGAATCAGATCTCGGGAGATCACTATCACAAGAACAGCATGGGGGTAACTGTCTCCATGATTCAATTACCTCCCACTGGGTCCCTCCCATGACATGTACAGATTATGGGAACCACAACTCAAGATGAGATTTGGGTAGGGACACAGCCAAACCATATCATTCTGCCCCTGGCCCCTCCCAAATCTCATGTCCTCACATTTTAAAACACAATCATGCCTTTCCAACAGTCCCCCAAAGTCTTAGCTCATTCTAGCATTAACCCAAAAGTCCAAGTCCAAAGACAAGGCAAGTTTCTTCTGTCTATAAGCCTGTAAAATCAAAAGCAAGTTAGCTATTTCCTAGATACAATGGGGGTACAGGCACTGGGTAAAATAAACCTGTTCCAAATGGGAGACATTGGCCAAAACAAATGGGCTACAGGCCCCATGCAAGTCCGAAATCTAATAGGTCAGTCATTAAAGCTTAAAGTTCCAAAATAATCTCCTTTGACTCCATGTCTCACATGCAGGTCATGCTGATGCAAGAGGTAAGGCTCCCACAGCCTTGGGCAGCTCCGCCCTATGACTTTGCAGGGTACAACCCCCCTCCCAACTGCTTTCACGGCTGGAGTTGAATGTCTTCAGCGTTTCTGGGCACACAGTGCAAGATGTCAGTGGATCTACCATTCTGGGGTCTGGAGGATGGTGGCCCTCTTCTCACAGCTCCACTAGGCAGTGCCCCAGTGGGGACTCTATGTGGGGGCTCTATGTGGGGGCTCTGACCCCACATTTCCCTTCTGCACTGCCCTAACAGAGGTACTCCATGAGGGTTCCACCCCTGCAGAAAACTTCTGCCTAGACATCCAGGCATTTCCATACATCCTCTGAAATCTAGGTGGAGATTCCCAAACCTCAATTATTGTCTTCTGTGCACCTACAGGACCAACACCACATGGAAGCTACCAAGGCTTGGGGCTTGCACCCTCTGAAGCCATGGCCTGAGCTGAACCTTGGCCCCTTTTAACCATGGCTGGAGTGGCTGGGTTAGAGTCCATAGGCTGCACACAGCAGGGGGCCCTGGACCTGACCCAGGAAACCATTTTTTCCTCCTAGACCTCTGGGCCTGTGATGGGAGGGGCTGCCATGAAGGTCTCTGACATGCTCTGGAGACATTTTCCCCATTGTCTTGGTGATTAACATTCAGCTCCTTGTTTCTTATGTAAATTTCTGCTGTCAGCTTGAATTTCTCCCCAGAAAATGGGTTTTTCTTTTCTGCTGCATGATCTGGCTACAAATTTTCCAAACGTTTATGCTCTGTCACCTCTCAAATGCTTTGCTGCTTAGAAATTTCTTCCACCAGTACCGTAAATCATCTCTCTCAAGTTCCACAAATCTCTAGGGCAGGGCAAAATGCCACCAGTCTCTTTGCTATATCATAACAAGAGTCACCTTTATTCCTGTTTCCAAGAAGTTTCTCATCTCCGTCTGAGACCACCTCAGCCTGGACTTCATTGTACACATCACTATCAGCATTTTGGTCAAAGCCATTCAACAAGTCTCTAGGAAGTTCCAAACTTTCCCACATCTTCCTATCTTCTTCTGAGCCTTCCAAACTGTTCCAACCTCTCCCTGTTACCCACTTCCAAAGTCGCTTCCACATTTTCAGGTATCTTTATAGCAGTGCCCCACTACCCAATACCAATATACTGTATTAGTCCATTTTCATGCTACTATAAGGACATATCTGAGACTGGGTAATTTATAAAGGAAAGAGGTTTAATTGACTCACAGTTCTGAAGGGCTGGGGAGGCCTCAGGAAACTCACAATCATGGCAGAAGGGGAAGCAAACACATCCTTCTTCACATGGCAGCAGGAAGGAGAAGTGCCAAGCAAATATCTCATGAGAACTCACTCACTATCATGAGAATAGCATGGAGGTAACCACCCCCATGATTCAATTACCTCCCACTGGGTCCCTCCCATGACACATGGGGATTATGGGAACCACAATTCAAGATGAGATTTGGATGGGGACACAGCCAAACCATATCAAGCATTGAGATGTCTAAAAACTCCTCCGAGATGTTGATATAGTTTGGTTTTGTATCCCTGCCCAGATCTTATGTTGAATTGTAATCCCCAATGTCAGAGGAGGGGCCTGGTGGGAGGTTACTGGATCATGGGGGTGGATTTCTCCCTTGCTGTTCTTCTGATAGTGAGTTATCATGAGATCTCATTGTTTAAAAGGTGTAGCACCTCCCCTTGCACCCTCTTCCTCCTGCTCTGGCCATTTAAGACCTTCCTCTTTTCCTTCCTTTCTCTTTTCCTTCCTCCATGATTGTAAGTTTCCTGAGGCCTCCTCAGCCATGCTTCCTATACAGCCTGTGGAACCATGAGCCAATAAAACCTCTTTTCTTTATAAATTACCCAGCCTCAGGTAGTTCTTTATAGCAATGTGAAAATAGACTAATACAGATGGGAATCTGCAGCCAAAGATGAGAAGGCCTGCTCCAAGAGTGGTCCACCAGCATCCATATCATCTGACAGCCTAGCACATAAGCAGATTCTTGGCTTGTCCCAACTATGGAATGGGAATCTGCATTTCACCGAGATTCCCCAGTGATTGAAACTTTCAGGTTTGAGAACCCCACTGTGGGGTGCCAGTAAATACTCCCCAGTCCACACATTCCTATGTGCCTCTTTATTATGTACTCAAATACACTCACTTGTATGATAAAGAGCTACCCTTAGAGAACGCAGCTTAGTCAGGTGAGGGGCCACATCACAGAACACACCCACACCCAAGCGTTTTCACGCAGAGCACTTGGTGATTTAGAACAGCTCAGGGTATCTGGAGAGCTGTGCCATTCTGCCCCCAAGCAGGGCTGCTGTCACTCACTGACAGTACCCATGATTCGCATGTCATGATTCAGGGGCTCGAAAAGGAATGCCCCTCCCTGCAGTCTTCTTTAAAAAATGTATATTTTTTAATTTTTAGAAATAGTCTCACTCTGTCACCCTGGCTGGAGTGCAGTGGTGCTATCATAGCTCACTGTAGCCTTGACCTCCCAGGCTCAGGTGATCCTCCCACCTCAGCCTCCCAAGCTGCTGGGACTATAGGTATTCACCACCATGCCTGGCTAATTTTTAAATTTTTTAAATTATTTATTTATTTATATATTTATTTATTTGAGAGATGGAGTCTTGCTGTGTCACCCAGGCTGGAGTGCAGTGGCGTGATCTTGGCTCACTGCAACCTCTGCCTCCCCAGATTCAAGCCATTCTCCTGCCTCAGCTTCCCAAGTAGCTGGGACTACAGGTGTGCACCACCACGCCCAGCTAATTTTTGTGTTTTTTTTAGTAGAGACAGGGTTTCACTATATGTTGGCCAGGCTGGTCTCAAACTCCTGACCTCAGGTGGCCCGCCTGCCTTGGCCTCCTAAAGTGCTGGGATCACAGGCATGAGTCACAGTACCCAGCCTAATTTTAAATTTTTTATAGAGACAAGGTCTCACTATGTTGCTCAGGCTGGTCTCAAGCAACTGGCCTCAAGCTAGTGATCCTCCTACCTTGGTCTCCCAAAGTGGTTACAGGCATGAGCCACTGTGCCCAGCCTTGGTCTTCTTTAAATGGCTGTCAGAGGTCTGGAAAGCTGCTATAGCCCTTTAGCCTAAGGCTTTGGTGTTTGTGAAAGTACAATCCCAGAGTTAAGGAGAGTGCTTTGAACTGCTACTGGCCATGAATTATTCATGGAAAATTAAAGTTCCAGGTTCGAGGGAGAGCAGGCAGTGTGGAGGGCAGGGCGGGGCAATGGCAGGAGGAAGAAGCAGGTCTCCTACTTCTCTCTTCCTGAGGCCCAAACCTTCTGCTTAGAATAACTGAACAGCTGTGGAGCCAGTCCAAGGACTCTGGGTGGCCTTGCCCTGCCAAGCAGGATACCCTCTTTTGGCAGGTGCCACATCTGCCTGGCACCCCAGGTGGCTGCCCCATCAAATGGCACTAATGTCACAGGCATCTGGAGAGGTGCTGAGCTCCAAAAGCAGGGGCCTTAAGAAGAGGGAGGCCTTGCAACTGATTCTGCAATAAGGAGAGAACAAAGAGATGGCACGGCTGTGTGCTTCCCCTGAGCACTGGATAGAAATCACTGGCTTTGAATCCATCAAAGATAAGGTCAGGTCTCTATGGGTGCCAGCTGGGTGCCACTGAGGCCTAGATTAATAATAATCCTAATGTCAGCTGTGAAATCTATTGCCTCTATTTACTCCTGCAAACATGGGTAGAAAAACTAGACCTGATATCTTTTTATAAAATACGAACTCAGTCAAACATTTGTGTTAATTTCAGTAGAAAAGTTTAGAAACTGAATTGTGAAGGTGAATATTTTAAAATGCAGGAATGACAAACGTATCAACACTACAACTATTTAAATAGCCTAGTTCTGAGTAGCAATGACTTGATAAAGTGAGTATTTGCTGACACTCCTGAAGATAAACTCTATTGATCTTTAGTTCCAAAGTGCATTTTTTAAAAGATTGAACCTCTGTTACAAAGAGGTGAAATGCTGAAAGCTAGAATTCAAAAGACATAGTAAACTGAAGCTTAAGAATTAAACCGAAACCCAAAACTCTTTGACTAAATATTTGGAGAGCTCTTTATGTAAAAGAAATGGAAGGATCAGAAGACCTGGATTCAGGGCCCAGCGATGCCATGAAAAAAGTCAACCAATATTTATGAAGGATTTACTATAAGCCGGTGCTGCACCAGGGGTTGCCGAGGGCCGCTGGGGTCCTGGGAGGGCTCTGCTGGGCTGTCTGATGAGCACAGCAAGTCTTGAGCCCGTCTTGCCACCCATTCTGATCTGATCTGTTCTCCTGGCCCTTAAAGAGTCAGCTTTCTAAATGCAAGTCCCATCAAGAAACTCAGGCCCTCCCATACAGCACACAATCCATGAACCTTCTCTCTCCTTGCACGATCTTCCATGGAGCCTATGCTCAAAACACGGTGGCCTCCTTGGGTTTCCCTGAGCGGGCAATGCTGTTTTCTACTTCCAGGCATTTGCACGTGATATTTTCTCTGCTCGGGATTCCCTCTCCTGCTGTCTGCGCAGATAATCCTATCCTTTGAGGGCCAGTTCCAGCTTCTCTTGTGAAAACACTTTGCAAGCAGAGTTACTTGTTTCCTCCTTTGGGCTCTCACTGCGCCTGCCTTGTTTTATTTATCCAGCCACTAGATCTGTATTGTGCTTCTACTGGGGGCCAGCCCTGGGCTCTGAGCTGGGGACACAGCAGGAACTCAGACTTCTTCTCTGCTGGTGGTGTTTACAGGCCAGAGGGAAGACCCAGTACCGATGATGTCAGGAGGATTTGTTTCCAGATCTTCCTGCTGCTCCAGGGCAGTGACCACGGCCTATCCACTTTCAAGTCCCCATCATCCAGCAGAGAGTCTAGCACATAGGAGATGCCCAAGATGGAGGACTGCCATGCTCCCGCACCTCCACCCTGCCTGGGAATCACAGCCACAGGCCCTCAAGTGCTGCAACGCTGTCCACCAGGCAGGCCACTCTTGTGCCTATAGCCCCTCACTTGCAGAGGACACCTTTCCAAGGTGCTCTGTGGATCTGACTCTTTCAAAACTTATCCACAAGCTGCTGCTGATCCAGAGCCAACCTCGCATGGCCAGGTAGCACCCCCAAAAAGGGCCGGCTGAGAAGGCCAGCTGTGTACCTCAGGGAGCCCCGCTGTTCTTTCTTCCACACAATGCATCCAACAGCTGCCTAGGCCCATGGCTTTCAGACACACTTGCATCCAGGGCAGATGGGAACAAGGGGGCTTGAAACCCAGGGCTTCACATACCAACCTTGGCACAAAGAAACTTTTTCTTCAGTGTTCTAGCCTGAGGCCAGTGGCCAATCATGAAGTCTTTCTCTCATCTGGAGATCACAAACACCTGTGGCCTGTGTCATGTGGCACAAAGAGAGAAGCAGAGGGAGGGTTCCTGCTCTACTCAATTTTTCTGGTTTTGGGTTTTTTTTTTTTTTTTTGTATTTTTGGTTTCCTTTGGTTGTTGGTAACAGTTGTGCCTCTGCCTCTTTGGGCTGCTCTTTGTGGCTTAAATACAGCAATTGAAAAAGGAATAATAGGCATTTGCAATAGCTAGTGGGTCAAACACTAGAATTTTGGGGGGAAAACCTCTAGCAGTTAGGCAAGTGTATATGAGTCAGTATATTTATTTATTTATTTATTTTTTGAGATGGAGTTTTGCTCTTGTCACCTAGGCTGGAGTGCAATGGCGCGATCTCGGCTCACTGCAACCTCTGCCTCCTGGGTTCAAGCAATTCTCCTGCCTCAGCCTCCCGAGAAGCTGGGACTACAAGCTCCTGCCACAACACCCAGCTAATTTTTTTGTATTTTTAGTAGAGACGGGGTTTTGCCATGTTGGCCAGGCTGGTCTCGAACTCCTGACCTTAGGTGATCCACCCGCCTCGGCCTCCCATAGTGCTGGGATTACAGCCATGAGCCACCGTGCCCATCCCAAGTCAGTATTTTTCAAGGAGATTTTTATACACAAGCATTTTGAAAGAGTATGTAAAATGGTCTCTTCCTTCATATAGTCCCCCAACCAATTGGTGGACGTTGCTGGCATGGAGACAGAAATAATAACAGCACTTACATCTAGTGTTACCCTTGCAACCAGCCTGTGGGCAAAAATTAGGGGAGCTGGGGATGAAGAAATTGGGGCTGTGCGGCATGTGGGCTCAAGGATGGGAAGCTGCCCGTTGACAATTGTTTCACACAGAATTCCTGGACTTGCTGGAGGCCTTCTATCAGCTGTTTAACTTCTGCCTGTGACTTCAAGTAAGTCATCTTTTCTTCCTGAGGGAATAGCAGAGCACTTCCATCCTGATAGATCCATTTGTCTCCCATCAGATTTATTCCTGCCCCAAATTCAGGGATCAAATATCTATGTGTTACCATATAAAGTAACTGGACTCTGCTTTCTTACAATGCAAAAGGAAAAATCCCAAATTATAAAAGATGTAGAGTAAGATTCTTTCCTACCATTGCAGCTGTAGTGGTAGTGCCCTAACTGCCCTTGGGCTGGGGAAGGAACAAAGGGCCTAGTCACTATGCTGGCACCTCCAGCACACCACAGCCACCAGAGAGGAGTCCCGTCTCTTCCCTGTGAGCCCCCATGCCCCACTCTTCAACAAGTAGAGTCCCTGGCTCAGGCCAGCAGTGCAGCCTCCCTGCCCCAGTGTTCACTCCCATCCAGACCAGTAGCTCAGCAGTTCTCTGAGGTGCAGCTCCTAGAGGCAACCGAGATCTCCTCGGCCACTGCCATTGCAAGGGTGCTGCCTTGCTGCCCTTGGACTGGGAAAGGAACAAAGACCCTGAGTGCTTCAACCATACTGCCAGCAAGCTGCAGTTGCCCTAAGGAGAAGAGGCCAGGCTGTCTCCCCTGGGACCCACCCACCCACCCTGCTCATCACTGGAAAGGGTCCCCTCCACTTAGGTCCACAGCACAGCTGCCCCATCCCAGGCCAATCGCAATGATTGATCATGGCTCTGCATCTCTTGGTGGGTGGAGCCCCACAACAGAAGTGAAAGGCCCTCTGCTACAACCACTGCTAAGGGCCCTTCCTCTGCTGCCTCCAAGCTGAGGACAGAATATAAAGCCTGAGCTTACCCCAGAGCTGCAGTGGGCATCCTGGGAGTGCCAAGCCGAGATCTGCAGCCAGCACCTAAGTGGGAGAGGAGCCTACACCTCAGAACACTGAGAGGGCACACAGCTGAAAATGTGTGGAAACGCCAAGGAGCTGCATGGCTGAGGAAGAGCCTACCTGCTGGCCCTTACGTTTAAGTGCCATCTACTGTATCAAAGCCCAAAACTTCAACACCAAAAACAAACAAAACAAAAAAAGCAGAACAATAACAACAAAACAAACGAACCAACAAAAAAAAAAACACCTTTGGTAATATACTCCCCATGCGAAACCAAGGACAATAATTAACTATAAATAAAGACCTTGCAAAAAGCCTTGGTCCTCTGAAAACATCCAGAAAAGTCTACTGACTGTACTCAACTTACATCACAGTTAAAGGACCACCAGCCCACACAGATGAGAAAGAGCCAGCCCAAGAACTCTGGCAACTCAAATAGCCAGAGTGTCTTCTTTCCAAACAATTGCATTAGTTCCCCAGCAAGGGTTCTTAACCAGGCTGAAATGGCTGAAAGACAGAAATAGAATTCAGAGTATGGATAGCAAAAAAGATGATTGAGATTTAGGAGAAAGTTGAAACCCAATCCAAGGGATCTAAGAATTGCAATAAAATGATACAGAAGCTGACAGATGAAACAGTCATTATAAAAAAGGACCAAACTGATCTGAAAAAGATAAAAAACGTACTATAAGAATTTCATAATGAAATCACAAGTATTAACAGCAGAACATACCAAGCAGAAGAAGGAATCTCACAGCTTAAAGACTGGCTCTGAAATAACTCAGTTAGACGAAAATAAAGTAAAAAGAATGAATAAAACCTCTGAGAAATATGGGCTTATGTAAAGAGACCAAATCAGCGACTCATTGGTGTTCCTGAAAGAGACAGGGAAAAAGTAAGCAACTTGGAAAACTATTTCAGGATATTACACATGAAAACTTCCTCAACCTTGCTAGAGAGGCTGACATTCAAGTTCGGGAAATGAAGAGAACTCCTGCAAAATAATACACAAGAAGAATATCCCCAAGACACATAATCATCAGATTCTCCAAGATGAAAATGAGAGAAACAATGTTAAAGAAATGTAGAGAGAAGAGGCAGTTCACTTACAAAGGGAGCCCTATCAGGCTAACAGCAGATCTTTCAGCAGAAGCCCTAAAAGCCAGAAGAGATCAGGCTATATTCAGCATTCTTAAAGAAAAGAATTTCCAACCAAGAATTTCATATCCGGCCAAACTAAGCTTCATAAATGAGGGATAAGTAAGATCTTTTTCAAAGCAAATGTTGAGGAATTCCTTGCCACCAGACCTACCTTAAAAGAGGTCCTGAAAAGAGCACTAAATATGGAAAGGAAGGACCATTACCAGCCACTACAAAAACACACTCAAGTACACAGACTGGTGACTCTATAAAGCAACCACACAAACAAGCCTGCATAATAACCAGCTAACAATGTGATGACAAGATCAAATCCGCACATATCAATACTAACTTTGAATGTAAATAGGAAATGACCCAATTAAAAGGCACAGGGTGGGCTGGGCATGGTGGCTCACACCTGTAATCCCAGCACTTTGGGAGGCCCAGGTGGGCAGATCACTTGAGGCCAGGAGTTTGAGACCAGCCTGGCCAACATGGAGAAAGCCCAAATCTACTAAAAATACAAAAAATTAGCCAGGCATGGTGGCGTGTGCCTGTAGTTCCAGCTACTCAGGAGGTTGAGGTGGGTGAATCACTTGAACCTGGGAGCCAGAGGTTGCACTGAACTGAGACTGTGCCACTGCACTCCAGCCTGGGTGACAGTGCAAGACCCTGTTTAAAAAGAAAAAAAAAATGTCACAGAATGGCAACCTGGATAAAGAAGCAAGACCCAATGACCCAATGGTATGCTGTCTTCAAGGGACCCATCTCGCATGCAGTGACACCCATAGGCTCAAAATGAAGTGATGGAGAAAAATCTACCAAGCAAATGGAAAACAGAATAAAAGCAGGGGTTGCTATTCCTAATTTCAGACAAAACAGACTTTAAACCAACAGAGATCAAAAAAGACAAAGAAGGGCATTACATAATGGCAAAGCATTCAATTCAATAAGAAGACCTAACTATCCTAAATATATATGCATTAACACAGGAGCACCTAGATTAATAAAGCAAGCTGTTAGAGACCCACAAAGAGACTTAGACTCCCACACAATAATAGTGAGAGATCTCAACACCCCACTGACAGTATTAGATCATTGAGGCAGAAAATTAACAAAGATATTCAGGACCTGAATTCAATACTGGACCAAATGGACCTAGCACAAACATCTACAGAACTCTCTACCCCAAAACAAGAGAATATACATTCTTCTGATTGCCACATAGCACGTACTCTTAAATTGACCACACAATCAGACATAAAACAATCCTCAGCAAATTAAAAAAAAAAAACATACCAACTACACTTTCAAGCCATAGCACAAGAAAAATAAAAAATCCATACTAAAAAAATTGCTCAAAACGATACGATTACATTGAAAATTAAACACCTGTTCCTGAATGACTTTGGGGTAAATAATGAAATCAAGGCAGAAATCAAGAAGTTCTTTGCAACTAATGAGAACAAAGATCCAACATACCAGAATCTCTGGGACACAGCTAAGGTAGTGTTCAGATGGAAGTTTATAGCACTAAATGGCCACATGAAAAAGTAAGAAGGATCTCAAATTAACAACCTAACATCATAACTAGAGGAATTAGAGAAGCAAGGGAAAACCAATCCTAAAGCTACTAGATGACAGAAATAACCAGAATCAGTGCTGAACTGAAGGGAATTAAGAAACAAACAAAAAACATATAAAACATCAACAAATCCAGGAGTTGGTTCTTTGAAAAAATTAATAAGATAGACTGCTAGCTAGACTAATAAAAAAAGGAGGGAAATCCAAATTAACACAATTAGAAATGGCAAAGGGGGCATTACCACTTACCCCCAGAGAAATACAAAGAAAAAAACACACACACACACACACACACAAAACACAAAAAACCCAGACAGTACTATGAACACCTCTATGCAGACAAACTAGAAAATCTAGAAGAAATGGATAAATTCCTGGACACATACAATCTCCAAAGACTGAACCAGGAAGAAACTGAATCCCTGAACAGATTAGTAATGAGTTCCAAAATTTAAGCAGTAATAAAAAGCTTACTAACCAAGAAAAGCCCAGGACCAGATGGATTCACAGCCGAATTCTACCAGATATATAAAGAGCTGGTACCATTCCTACTGAAACTGTTCCAAAAAAATGAGCAGGGACTCTTCCCCAACTAATTCTGAGGCCAGCATCATCCTGATACAAAACCAGGCAGAGATGCAACAAAAAAAGAAAACCCCAGGCCAATATCCCAAATGAATATAGAAGCAAAAATCCTCAAGAAAATACTAATAAACTGAATCTAGCAGCACATCAAAAAGTTAATCCACCAAGATCAAGTAGACTTTATCCTTGGGATGCAAGGCTGGTTCAACATACATAGATCAGTAAATGTGATTAATCACATAAACAGAACTAAAAAATTTCCCAAAACCACATAATTATCTCAATAGGTGCAGAAATAAAAGAGATGTGAATAAAATTCAACATCTCTTCCTGTTAAAAACCCTCAATAAACTAGGCATTGAAGGAATATACTTCAAAATAACAAGAGCCATCTATGACAAACCCACAGCTGACATCATACTGAATGGGCAAAAGCTAGAAGCATTCGCCTTGAAAGCTGGCACAAGACAAGGATGCCCTCTCTTACCACTCCTATTCAACATAGTACTGGAAGTCCTGTCCAGAGCAGTCAGGAGGAAGAAATAAAAGGCATTCAGATAAGAATAGAGGAGGAAGTCAAACTCTCCCTGTTTGCGGATGACATAATTCTATATCTGGAAAACCCCAGAGTCTCTGCCCAAAAGCTCCTTGATCTGATAAACAACTTCAGCAAAGTTTCAGGATATAAAATTAATGTATGGAAATCAGTAGCATTCCTATACACCAACAACATCCAAACCAAGAGCCAAATCAGGAACACAATCCCATTCACAGTTGCCACAAAAATAATTAAAAACCTAGGCATACAGCTAAACCAGGGAGGTGAAAGATTTCTACGATAAGAGTTACAAAACACTGCCAGAAATCAGTGATGACACATACAAATGGAAAAACATTCCATGTTTATGGGTAGAAAGAATAAATATTGGCTGGGCATGGTGGCTCATGCCTGTAATCCCAGCACTTTGGGAGGCTGAGGTGGGCGGATCACGAGGTCAGCAGATTGAGACCATCCTGGCTAACATGGTGAAACCCCTTGTCTACTAAAAATACAAAAAATTAGCTGGGCGTGGTGGCAGGCACCTGTAGTCCCAGCTGCTTCGGAGGCTGAGGCAGGAGAATGGCATGAACCCGGGAGGCAGAGCTTGCAGTGAGCCGAGATCGCGCCACTGCACTCCAGCCTGGGCGACAGAGTGAGACTCCATCCAAAAAAAAAAAAAAAAAAAAAAAAAACACAGAATCAATATCATTAAAATGGCCATAGTGCCAAAAGCAATTTACAGATTCAACACTATTTCTATCAAAGTACCAATGACATTCTTCACAAAATTCAAAAACTATTTTAAAATTCATATAGAACTAAAAAAGAGCCAGAATAGCCAAGGCAATCCTAAGCAAAAAGAACAAAGCTGGAAGCATCACATTACCTGACTTCAAACTATACTACAAGGCTATTGTATCCAAAACAACATGGTACTGGTATAAAAACAGACCCATTGTATTAGTCCATTCTCACACTGCTAGGAAGAAATAACCAAGACTAGGTAATTTATAAAGGAAAGAGGTTTAATTGACTCACAGTTCCACATGACTGGAAAAGCCTCAGGAAATTTACAATCATGGTGGAAGGCAAAGAGAAGCAGGCACCTTCTTCACAGGGCAGCAGGACACAGTGAGTGCAAGCAGGGGAAATGCCAGCCACTTATAAAACCATCAGATCTCGTGAGACTCACCCACTATCACGAGAACAGCATAGGGGAAACCACCCCCATGATTCAATCACCTCCACCTGGTCCTGCCCTTGACACATGGGGATTATGGGGATTACAATTCAAGATGAGATTTGGGTGGGGCCACAAAACCTAACCATATCACACATAGACCAATGGAACAGAATAGAGATCCCAGAAATAATGGTACACACCTACAACCATCTGATCATTGACAAACCTGACAAAAACAATGGGGGAAAGGATTCCCTATTCAATAAATGGTGCTGGACTAACTGGCTAGTCATAGACAGAAGATTGAAACTGGGCCCCTTCCTTACACCACATATGAAATCAACTTAAGATGGATTAAAGACTTAAATGTAAAACCTAAAACTATAAAAACTCTGGGAGATAACTTAGGAAATGTCATTCTGGACATAGGACCTGGCAAAGATTTATGATGAAGACACCAATAGCAATTGCAACAAAAACAGAAATTGACAAATGAGACCTAATTAAACTAAGAGTTGTTTTACTGAAAAGAAACTATCAACAGACTAAACAGACAACCTACAGAATTGGAGAAAATATGTGCAAACTAGGCATCTGACAAAGTTGTAATATCCATAATCTGTAAGGAGCTTAAATGAATTTACAAGAAAAAAAAACAACCCCATTAAAAAGTGGGCAAAGGACATGAACAGACACTTTTCAAAAGAAGATATACATGTGGTTAACAAGCATATGAAAAAAATGCTCAACAGCATTAATCATTAGAGAAATGCAAATGAAAACCACAATGAGATACCATCTCACACAGCAGAATGGCTATTATTAAAAAGTAAAAAAATAACAGATGCAGGCTGGCTGCTGTGGCTCACGCCTGTAATCCCAGCACTTTGGGAGGCCAAGGCAGGCAGATCAGCTGAGGTTCAGGAGTTTGAGACCATCCTGGCCAACGTGGTAAAACCCCATCTCTACTAAAAATACAAAAATTAGCCAGGTGTGGTGCCAGGTGCCTGTAATCCCAGCTACTTGGGAGGCTGAAGCATGAGAATCACTTGAACCTGGGAGGTGGAGGTTGCAGTGAGCCTAGATCATGCCATTGAGCTCCAGCCTAGGCAACAAGAGTGAAACTCTGTCTCAAAAACAAAACAAAACAAACAAACAAAAAAACAGAGGCTGGAGAGGTTGCCAAGAAAAGGGAATGAAGGGACTGCTTATACACTGTTGGTGGGAGTGTAAATTAGTTCAGCCACTGTGGAAAGCAGCATGGTGATTCCTCAAAGAACTTAAAATAGAATTACCATTCAGCCCAGCAATCCCATTTTTGGGTATATACCCAAAGAAATATAAATCATTCTACCATAAGGACACATGCACATGTATGTTCACTGTAGCACTATTCACAATAGCAAAGGCATGGAATTAATCTCAATGTTCATCAGTGGTAGAGTGGATGAAGAAAATGTGGTACATATACACCATGGAATACTATGCAGCCTTAAAAAAGAATGAAATCATGTTCACTGTAGCAACATGGATAGAGCTGGAGGTCATTACCCTAAGCAATCTAATGTGGGAACAGAAGGCCAAGTACTACATGTTTTCACTTACAAGTGGGAGCTAAATGATGAGAACACACAGACACAAAGAGGGGAACACCACACACTGGGGCCTACTTGAGGGTGGAGGGTGGGATGGGGGAGAAGATCATAAAAAATACCTGTGGGGTAGTACCTGGGTGATGAAATAATCTGTACACTAAACCTCCATGACACGCGGTTTACCTGTATAAGAAACCTGCACATGTACCCCTGAACCCAAAATAAAAGTTAAAAAAAAATTCTTTCCTTACCGAAGGATTCGGAACAGTGGCATAGCCTGGTGGATTTCAGTTTCATAGACCATTAACCAGCTGACAGAATGCCTGCCAGAGTGGTAGGAAGCTCTGCTAAGAGGAGTCAGTCAGAATGAAGATGAAGCATCTCTCTGCATTAGGATGTAAGTCACAGGGCAAATGTGCTTTGCTTTAGACTCAAGTCTCTGTGACTATATCTATTGAATTTGCTGGAGTACAGCTGTTGGATGCTACCAACACACAGCTGGTGGATCTAACACATCTTAAATTTTCATAATGCTCATTTTAGTCGTGCTCTGTAACATTCAGGACATAAACTACCCAACCTTGGAATGGCTGACCTATCATGAAAGAAGATGGTTACTTTAAGAGTCATTGAATATAATCTCTGGGCTTACAGTCTGTAAACTTCCAAGCCCACAGGAAAATATTAACAATGATTAAATGTTAGACAAGTCAACTCCTTTTATTTTAACTGTTTGGGAAAAAAGTAGAGCAAATTCTGGTCTGTCTATATACATTGTTTCGGTTTCCACTGGAGAATTAAAATGTGAAATTTTCTTAATAATATATTGCAGCAGCTTTTTCTTTATGAATTCTTATATACAGATATGCACAGGAAGACTCAAGAAAAGGCAAGGCCCCCAGTCCTCCTCTTCCAGTTAAAATCCTTAGTATGTCCGTTTGTCTTAAACATTTTTCTTCAAGGATGGAAATGGATGCCTGAGGAAGGGCTCATTTGGGCAGTTTCAAACCCAAGCCACATGCAGGCAGCACCTGGAGCATCTCCTCTGCTTAGTCCCCTACCCATCACAGGAGGAGCAAAGAAGGCCTGCCGAGTCAGAAGCAAGAGAGCGAGGAACATGGAAGGGTTGGGGAGGCCAGGGCCAGGGCGGGCCGCAGGCAGCCGAGTAGTGAGTCCTGCAAGGAATGAAAGAAACATGGTGTTCCAGCCCAGTTTGCCTTTTCCTAATCATTCACTCAACACCTATGAGCATTGAGGGTTCTCTGGTGGGCAAAAGGGAGCTGGTGCTTGCCTTCAAGGAATTTACGGTCTGTTGGAGGGCATATATTAATTAAATAATCACACAACAAAATGCATTGCTGCACACTGTGTATGTTTTAGTTAGAGAGCAGGAGAATCCACCTGGGGCAGGAACTCTTCCCAGAAGCAGCAGCATTTGAGCCAGGATCTGGAGGCTGATAGAGTAGGCTTTCCCTAGACAATGTGTGTGGGGGTGTGCACACTCGCTGGGAGCAGGGAACCAGGCACTTCGGGCACAGGGGGCAGCTTGTGTCCTGGTCCCAGGACAGGAGGGAGATGTTATATTGAGGATATGGAGGGAGGGCTGTGTGACCAGAGCACAGTGTAAGCGGGAGATCTGAGAGAGGAGGAAGGCAGGGGCTAGGCCACACAGAACCCTGTAGCCACATCTGGGATGTTGGCCTTCATTCTGAGTGCAAAAGGAAGCTGTGACTGTTAATTTTATGTGTCAACTTGGCTCAGCCATGTGCCAGTTGTTCGGTCAACCACCAGTCTAAATGTTGCCATGAAGATATTTTTTAGATGAGATTAACATTTAAATCAGCAGACTTTGATGTAAAGCAGATTACTCTCCCTAATGAGGGTGGGCCTCCTCCAATCAGGTGCTGATCTTCAGAGCAAATACTGAGCTCCCCCAAGGTAGAAGAAATTCTCAAGACTTCACGGTAGAAACCCCGCCTGCTTCCAGCCTGCTGCCCTGCAGGATTCAGGCTCAAGATGGCAACACCAACTCACCTGACTTTCCAGCCTGCTGGCCTGCCCTGCAGATTCCAGACTTGCCAACCCCATAATCGGAACAAGCCAATTCCTAAAATAAACCCGCCTCTTCCCTGCCCCCCATACATATATTCTGTTTCTCCAGGTATTTCTCTAGAGAGCACTGAATAATACAGAGGCCAAGAAGGGTTCTGTATTGTGTGGTAAAGTGATCAGGTAGGCAATTAAGTCATATCACATCGACTGCAGTATCAAAGACAAATCGGCTAGGGAAGAAAGAATGGATCTATGCCCAGTTAGGAGGGATCTGGAATACAAGCTTGAGACGATGTTAGCTTGAAATAGGGTGGTGGCCATGGTGATGGAGAGAAGTAGATACATTCCAGAAACTTTAAAATGGGGAAACCAATGATGAATGGACGTAATGAATGAGAGCCAGGCAGGTGACCAGGGTGAGTCTTGGATTCTGGCTCAGGCAGGGAACCCGGGGCAGTCCAGGGGAGTTTCTGTGGTGCTGGGTGAGGGGAGTGGGAGGAGGTCATGGGTGTGGTATTGACCATGAGCAACTACCATCTGGGAGGGGCACATGCAGAATTGGACCTCAGAGGAAGGGCCTAGGCTGGAGGTAAGTATTCAGCAATGACACGGGTGCTCCAATGTTTATTTGAGACGGAGTCTCACTCTGTCACCCAGCCTGGGGTGCAGTGGCGCGATCTCGGCTGACTGAAACCTCCACCTCCCGGGTTCAAGTGATTCTCCTGGCTCAGCCTCTGGAGTAGCTGGGATTACAGGCATTCACCACCATGCTCAGCTAATTTTTGTATTTTTAGTAGAGATAGGATTTTGCCATCTTGGCCAGGCTGGTCTCAAACTCCTGACCTCAAGTGATCCACCTGCCTCAGCTTCCCAAAGTGCTGGGATTACAGACATGAGCCACCACACCTGGCATCTCGTATGTTTAAAGGCAAGGAACAACAGAGAGGTGTAGAGTGTGGTGTTGTTGAGTCATTTAGTCCATGCCAAACACATTTGGGAAAACCCAAATTCTGGTGTTCCCTCTAGGAAGCTGATGTGAGCATTAGCACAGCCGAGGCCCTAGGAACCTAAGAGCAAAGAACTTCCCCCCCGACCCCGAGGTTTCTCACAGAGTAGCGTTCCCCAGCATGCTTGAGCACAGACCCCATAGCATCCGTGCATCTCCCCACCAAGGCCCATGGGCACGGGGAATGCTGATGTGGGAGGGTGGACCCTGGCAGGGACATCCTGGGGCTTCCTTGGGAGTAGAGCACCATGGCTGAGCTGCGCTTCCTCTGGGCTGGATGGAGAGTACTGGAAACAAAGCTCAGCCAGGATGCGCAGCTGGCAGGAAGGATTAACCCATCATGCCCAGAATGCTTGGACCACGTGCACAAAGATGGGAAGGGCATGGGGTTAAGCACTGTGAGAGACCAAAGCTGGAATAATTTAAGGCTGCATGGGCTTGGAGAGGGATCCTTCATGAAGGGCGTAGGAGGGAGCCAGGGTGGGCAGCAGGGGGCCTACCCCACATGACAGGGATGGGGATCTAGAAGGGGCCCTGGGGCATGTCCCGCATAGAGATGGTTCGTCTCTCTGCCCTTGCTGGAGGCATGCAGGGCCAGGAGGCTGGGCAAATTTTTTTCTACTTAGGCTCAAACCATTCTGTCGGGCTTGCCCTCGTGAGGTGAGCAGGACATGAAAGGCCTGCCACTGGGTACATGCTGGTCCCATGGAATGAGATGGAACCGGCGTGGATGCTTTCCAGCTCTGGGAGGGAGCACAGGGTGCACCCGGTGCAAGGGTTGGAGAGCCCTGACCGCGCTCTGACTTGCAGAGGAGTCCCCAGAGCTCCTCAACAGCTGGCAAGAGGGTGTAAGTGGTGGGAAAGATGAAAGGGGAGTGGGGCCGAAAGAAAGGGGGATGGCGAGTGCAGACAATCCTTGCCTTTCTCGGAACAGGAAGCTGGTTTTGAGTTGTAGGGGGTAATTTCGTTAGAAAACACAAAGGATTTGGGCTTTTCCCAGACTTGGTCATCAAAGGGCATGTGGGATGATCTCTTGAGGAGAGAACTTTGTCAAGAAGAAGGCATTTGTAGGATAAGAACTTTAAATAGGCCCTCTAGCCCCAAGAGAACCTGACTACTTAGGGCCTTAACAAGGAATTGACGGGGGAAAAAGCCCAATGGAAGTATTAGTAGAAAACCTTTTTCTGTCTACTTAATAGAGAACAGAAACAGGTGGCCTCGAAGAATGAGTTTCATGTGCTATGCAGTGCTAGGTTCTTTATGCATTCATTCAAATATTTATTAGGCACCTACTGTATGCCCAACAGTCCTCTAGGTGCTGTAGATACAGTGGTAAACAAGGTAAGTCCTCTGTCCATGAAGGGGAACATCACACACCGGGGACTGTTGTGGGGTGGGGGGCGGGGGGAGGGATAGCATTAGGAGATATACCTAATGCTAAATGATGAGTTAATGGGTGCGGCACACCAACATGGCACATGTATACATATGTAACAAACCTGCACGTTGTGCACATGTACCCTAAAACTTAAAGTATAATAATAATAAAATAAAAAAAAAGGTTAGTCCTCTTTCTTATTGTGGCTTGTACTCTAGGGAGGCCAGATAAACCCAGAATCTGTATTTTTTAATAATTTAAGTGTGCAGACAAATCATACTCATGGCAGATCTTAAACTTGGCTGATGATCGGGATCATCTAGGGCAGTGGTTCTCAACCAGGGCGATTTGCCTCCCGGGGGAAATCTGAAACCATCTAGAGATGTTTGTAGTTGTCATGAGTGGGAGGGAGTGTCACAAGTGGGACCTAGTGGGTGGTGGCCAGGGGTGTT
Source organism: Homo sapiens (assembly GCF_000001405.40). Lineage (NCBI taxonomy): Eukaryota > Metazoa > Chordata > Mammalia > Primates > Hominidae > Homo > Homo sapiens. The sequence goes on along the minus strand of NC_000006.12, from coordinate 157,572,216 downwards.
GCTAAATGTCCTACAATGTGCAGGACAGCCCCTCCCAACAAAGAACGTTCCAGCCCCAGATATCAAGAGTGCTGAGGCTGAGAGGCCCTGCCCTAGGGTCTTGCTACTCAAAGTGTGGGCCATGGACTGGCAGTATTGGCATCACCAGGAAGCTTATTAGAAATGAATCATCTCAGCGTCTCCTCCCAGCCCCGACCCTGCTGAGCCAGAATCTGCATTTTCAAAGATTCCCCACACACCCTCCCACCCTGAATTTGGATTTGGATGCACGTGAAAATCTGAGGAGCCTTGCCGTAGGTGCACACACTTATTAGCAGGCAGGACAAAATTAACAGCAAGTCAGCCAACTAGTTAGCTAAGCTTGGTGAAGTCCCCGCCCCAAGCACCATTCACGAAAGGTTTACTTACCTAGCAGGCTCAAAAAAAAAAAAAAAAAAAAATACAGATTCCTCATTCCTGAAGATTCTTATCTGCAGGAGGGGCTAAGAATATGCATTTTTATAACAGCTCCCTGTGTACAGCTGAGAGAGACAGGTTTGTACACCATACAAGTAACAGCTGAACCCCAAGGCTGCATTTCAGTACCATTAGCTGGGGAATCTAAGCAGCTGGCTAAAAACACAGACAAAAGAGAAAGATGCAAGCCACTTACGAAGATGCTCCCGTCACCCAAAGAGCTGATATTATCTAGTTAATTATGGAAGGTCTGCCCAGTAAAACAGCCAGGCCAGGTGTTTAAACTGTTTGTTTTTGTTGTTATTTATAGCATCGTGAGTTTCCGTTCAAAGAAACTTTTACAAAGAACCTCAGTATACAAAACAGATGAGAGTGAAGCAGCTCTGGTTTATGGGGACACCCAACATGTCTGTCCCTTGCCTGGGCTCCAGGAGGCACAGTTTGAAAAACATCATGACAGACAATAGCTGTGGTCTAGAGTGCATGCTGATTTTAGGTGAGAAAGACCCTAATAAAGTACGTTTCATTCAAGGAATGCTCTCGTGCACATAGGCATGCTCTCATGAAGTTGAAGTGGCTATTTGCTTGAACTTTAACGTGAATGCGGAGTGGCAAACATCAATGTTCAAAAATGATTCCATGAATAGAAACACAAATATTCCTACAAATTGTTTTGAAAATATAAGTTCCAGAAAATGGAAACATAGAATGGCCCCAGTAAAGAGTATGATTCTTTGATCTGGTGGAGAAAACAGACTTCAGCTTCTCCATTTTTAAACCATGACAATCTCAGTTCCTGCAGTTCAGGGACATTGTAATTCATGCAAAGACCTTGAACTGTCAGATGCTATGATGTTCACAGCTATCAAAAGCTCTTTTTTCAGGGGCTGCCCAGACTCAGAAGGGCAATATAGATGTATGTGTGTGTGTATATATATATATATGTGTGTGTGTGTGTATATATATGTGTGTGTGTGTGTATATATATATGTGTGTGTGTGTGTGTATGTATATACATATATATATCACTAATTAGTACAATTAAAAACAATAAAAAGAAAGTGTTTAGTAGCTGCGACCTTTTTAGTTTAACTGAGTTAATCCAATACATGCTCATAACAAAATGAAAATTAATGACTACCTTATATTTTCCATACTATTTTTTTCCACATGGATGCCAAAGCCTTGCCCTTGAAAGGAAAAGAAAGTGGCTTTGTCCTTGCAAAGTTTTAATTTCCCTCAAATTGTGTCAAAGTTCTCTGAGTATATACACAAAACCGCTGTGCTGCGTAAGTGAAGATCAGTTCTTCCACTGAAAGCCAAAGCTAGAAATATTTGTGTGTTTCCACTTTGTGGTACATAATTTCTGCATTGTCAGAAATGGGTAAATATTGTACAGTGATAGAGATCAATTTGGGTTGTCAGTGTTTGCATTATTGTAAGACAAGTAGACAAGAACAAAGGTAAAAAGTGGACACTGGATACCACGCTATGGCAGGGCCAGGCTTCACCATTATCACCAGGAAAATCAGACAGGCTTTTATTGAAGTTTGAGTGGCATTAATATTGAGAGCATTAGCAAAAGACCTGAATGCAAGGGCTGGTTTATCACTCATTCTACACCGGACTGGTGCAAGATTTTATCTTTAGCATTGAAGAAAAGAGAATTAGGATTACCAGTACAGAAGCAGGGGATGCTATTTATAAGTACACTATACTTTAAAGAATAAAAATGCCCATCTATTATGGTCCTAAGCTCTTTTCTTTTTTGCCTCTAATCAACACAGATTGGATAAAATGAATAAAAATCTTCATTAAGGTTAACAAATATAAACCAATATATATACAAGCTTTAAAAGTATTTTTATATATTTAATGACACAAACAGTTGGAAACTACAAAGAAGACAATGTCTCCTTTGAAACAGAAAAATATAACCACAAAACTCTAGAAATAAAGCTAACAAAAAAATGGTAGGTAGCTTCCGTGTGAAGAAAAAAACAATACAACAATATAGAGACTTGAAGGGGGTTTTGAAAACCACAGAGAGACACTCTGCTTCCTGCGGTGGAAGATTCAGTATTTTAAATATGTCACTTCTTCCCAACTTACTTTATACATCTATTACAATGCTAATAGAAATCTCAATATGATTTAGAAAAATTTTGACAAATTTGACAAAATGATTCTAAACTTCATCTGGAAGAATAAACGTGAGAATATTTGCAAAAGTAAAATAATAAGGGGAAATCATTGGCCCGGGAATAAATAAAATACTGAAACAAAATAGAAGATCCCCAATAGACAAATTTTCTAAGACTTAGTATCTGATAAATACAGCCTTTCAAATCAGTGGGGAAAGCATGGATTATTATTAATTATTATTTTATTTATTACAAATAAACAAAATTAGGATAGACAGCTAATCATTTGAGGGAAGAACCTGAAGTTAAAACCACACCTTCAAAGACATACCAGAGACTAAAATGTAAAAAATTATAATATGTAAGAACTAGAAAAATATACATAAACTTATCTGATTAGGAGGAGTGGAGTAGGGAAAGGTTTTTGGACATACGGGTTTTTAAATTTTTATATGGTTAGACTATCAATCTTTTTCTATATAGGTTGGCTTGTCACATAAGTTTGGCAACATAAAGAAAAGATTGATACTCTGACCACATAGAAAATAAAAGACCTGTATGTCAAAAAAACTTCATAAAAATGCAAATGATAAAGTAGAAAAATATTTGTAACATATATAACAAAGGGTAGTATCTTTAAAGAGCTCTAATAAATAAATAGAAAAAAGTCAAATAGTCCAGTGATAAAATGGGCAAAAAAGATGAACAGGCAACTCACACAAAGAAATAACAGCTATCAGTAAATATATTTTTTAAAGTTTGTGATTTGCCCCCAACCCCCAATTTCAAACAAGCGAGGTCAAAAGTTAATTTTACTTGACAATATTTGGTATTGTTGAGAACAGTGAGGATAAGCATGCTCATATACTTTTGGTGAAGATATAAATTTATACAGCCTTAGGGGGAACAAGTTAGTTGTATATCTCAAAACATTAAAAACGTATGTATCTTTTGGCCCAGCAACAGCATTTTTAGGCATTTGACTTAAGGAAATTTTCATGAATACTGAGTGCAACATTGTTTTTAATTAATATTAAAAACTGGAATCAACTTCAATGTCAACAAGACGGGATTTATTAAACAAATGATGATGTGATCATACAGTGGATTACTACACACCTATTAAAAATGGAATTCCTGTGAAGAAAGGTTCAAGTATATTAAGAGGAAAAAAAATCTGCCTTCAAAATAGTAATGTACAATGTGATCCCATTGGGTAAAAATACATTATGCAGAGAAAAAAACTGGAAGGATATATAAAAATGTTAATTATTATATCTTTGGTAGAATTAATTAAGTACCTTTAATATATTAAAATCAATTTTCATTTTCTTCTTTATTCTTTTTAAGGATTCTATAATGGACATATATATTACTTTGTAGTGAGAAAAAACTATCGCTTTTGAAACAGTTTGGAAATAGGCATAAAACATTTGCAAAAGAAATTGGTTCCCTACAATTCATAAATTTAGATGTCAATGAAGTATTTCTGCTGCTTTGGAAAAAAATGCAAGTTCATAGTTTTCATAATGATTTTTGAAAGATGTCCCCTCTATTTCCCCTAAAGGCTGGTTATAAGTGAGTAAAATGTTTTTCAGATTCTTACTTCACTCTGAAGCTCTATGACAAGGAGGTATTTCACTCATTGGGGCCACCTGCAGCTCTTGAAATTTTAAGTCAGCTCTTGGCCTTCTGGCAGCCCTACAGTGCTGTAAGGGGCTGAGTCCAAATATTAGCTCACTTAACACGGACTACTTCAGTGTAACCACATCAAACCAATCTGGTCCAACTTTTTTTTTTTTTTTTGAGATGGGGTCTCACTCTGTCACCCACGCTGGAGTGCAATGGTGTGATCTTGGCTCACTGCAACCTCCCAGGTTCAACTGATTCTCCTGTCTCAGCGTCCCAAGTAGCTGGGACTACAGGCACACACCACCACATCTGGCTAATTTTTGTATTTTTAGCAGAGATGGGGTTTCGCCATGTTGGCCAGGCTGGTCTCAAACTCCTGACCTCAGGGTGATCCACCCGCCTCAACCTCCCAAAGTGTTGGGATTACAGGCAAAAGCCACGGCGCCCGGCGGGTTCAACTTTTATGTACCAAAGTTGTGATCTGTTTTTCAGTTGTCATGGACCTCCAGGTTGAAGGTCACATAACCTGAGCATGCCCAGATGAACCAAGCCCGCAACCACAGGTGGAACCTAAGTGCTTAGAGTGAGGAATGGGGACAAAATTAAGAAGTGGACATTGCCTGGCATCCAGGATCCAATCAGATTGAGCTCTAGGCTCAGCCCACGGCAGTCAGATGGGGCTCCCGGAATCATTGCATTACAAGATCCAATTAGATCACACCTCATTACCCTATGTTTTTGCATCTGCCCCAGCCCCCAGCTTGACAAGACAGTTTTGGGAACCATCCCTGGTGTTCTCCTTACTTGTCACAAGTAATAAAACCCCCTTGTTAGGCCAGGCATGCTGGGTCACGCGTGTAATCTCAGCACTTTGGGAAGCCGAGGCAGATGGATCACCCTGAGGTCAGGAGTTTGAGACCAGCCTGGCCAACATGGTGAAACCCCGTCTCTACTAAAAATACAAAAATTAGCTGGGCATGGAGGCACATGCTTGTAATCCCAGCTACTCTGGAGGCTGAGGCAGGAGAATGGCTTGAACCCGGGTGGCAGAGGTTGCAGTGAGCCGAAATCACACCACTGCACTCCAGCCTGGGCGACAGAGCAAGACTCTGACTCAAAAAAAAAAAAAAAAAAATTCCCCTTGCTAAATTCTCCTTGGTTGTGGTCATTGGGTTGATGCCCCCTCAAGCAACCAAACACACACAATGTGGGTAAGAAAATTCTAGTGACCCAGATGGGACTGGGACTTGGGTTCTGACCCCAAACTCCTCGAAGGCTCACTATGGGCAGAGAGGTGGACAGTGGTAGCTCGCCTGGGCTAACTCACATTGCCTGAGAGGCATTGGGTGTGATTTCCAGGGACCTCCCGCTTGGTGTCCAGCCCGCCAGAGTGTCATTCGGACCTACCCTGAAAGAGCAGAAGTGGCCGTCTGGAGATTTTGTCCAGCGCTTCTTCAGGGTGGTAAGTGGACTTCACCCTGTGGGCTAAAAGAGTAATTCTCTGGATCTAGCAATGGGATCTCTGGACTAAGCACAGTACACCTCTGGTTTCAGTTCTGTCCTTTTCCTTGGCCATTTTGTGCTCTGGGGAACTGAAAAACATCCCATCCTAGCAAACAGCAGTTTCTGTTTCTGGCCACTTCGTGCTCTGGTGGACTGAGAGACACCCCCAGCCTGGCAAATGACAGTCTGGATTCGGCTAGCCAACAGTGGGACTGGCTTCAGGAATTCGGGTTTTTTTAGAGAGAAAGACTTGAGCTTTTCCTTCTTTCTCCTTGCCAGTTGACTCGCAATAGAGCTTTTCTTCTCTCAAAAGCCAATGCCATGGTGTTGGCCTCTATGTGCATCAGGCAGTGAGCCCAGTGATTGCTTGGTAACATCGGCATAACATTTATCTCTAAGAAAAGTGCCTTTTATGCTACTGGAAATTGCATTCTTTCATCTGCCAAAATATTATCCAGCTTGTGCACCCAGAGAAAGCCAGGGGCAGAGGAAAGAGCGTTTTCCTGGGAATCAAGAAACCGAGTTATATTGTCCCCGTTCTGCCACCACAAGTGACTTAACTTCCCTGGGTCTCTTAGGTGTATATAACAGGGGGCTGGAGAGAGAGGTTCCTATCTGTTTTGGGTCTAGGATTCTGGACAGGGGTTTCTCTGGACCCAACCTTTTTTTTTTTTTTTGGAGACGGAGTCTTGCTCCATCACCTGTGCAGTGGTGCAATCTCAGCTCACTGCAACCTCCGCCTCCTGCACTGGGTTCAAACCAGTCTCCTGCCTCAGCCCCCCATAGTAGCTGGGATTACCACACCCAGCTAATTTTTGTATTTTTAGTAAAGACACGGTTTCTCCATGTTGGCCAGTCTGGTCTTGAACTCCTCATCTCAGGTGATCCGCCCGCCTCGGCCTTCCAAAGTGCTGGGATTATAGGCGCGAGCAACTGCATCTGGCCTGTACCCAATCTTTTGACTCCACTGACCCTTGCTTTGGTTTGGGCTCTTCAATATGCATGTGACTGAATCTGAATAACACTAAGTAACTTGCCTATGTTCCCCATAAACTAATTTTTTGTATTTTTGCCTTATTCCCACAGATGGTAAATGTGTTGAAGGCACACAATAGGCAAGCACTTAATCAATGCTTATTTAACTCAAATCCAGTCCACCATTAATTACACGAAAAATCTCAACACCTCTCTACTTAGACTGATTAAAATGAAATTATTCAAATACTCTTTTTTTTGGAGATAAGGTCTCACTCTTTTGCCTGGATGGAGTGCAGTGGTGCAATCTTGGCTCACTGCAACCTTGACCTCCCAGACGCAGGTGATCCTCCCACCTCAGCCTCTCAAGTAGCTGGGACTCCAGGTGCATGCCACCACACCTGGCTAATGTTTTTGTATTTTTAGTAGAGGTGGGGTTTCACCATGCTGCCCAGGCTGGCCTCGAACTCCTGAGCTCAAGTGATCCACCCACCTCAGCCTCCCAAAGTGCTAGAATTGCAGGCGTGAGCCACCATGCCCGGCCCAAATATTCTTACTTTGGAAAATACTTTTACATCAAAAGCAGCATGCAGAAGCTCACCCACAGATCTCTATAATTTCACCCCTCCTGCCCCGTATTGACCTTGGAGGACCCAGAGCAGCCGTCAGAGGCCCAAACCTATGAGTTCTCAAAGGGAAATCAGGCAAAAATGAGTTTTATCTAAGTCTGATCATAAGATTGGCAGTATTGATTTTGTCCTCCTTTGCTGGTGCTCAGTGGTACTTTAATAAAGGACTATAAGTGCTGTGAAATCAAAATGTAAGGGCTGACAGATTTAAGAAATTATTTCTTAGCAAGCATCTTGTGATCAATAGCAGTTTGGTCTAGATTTTGACATACACAAAACTTATTTCATTTATCTTTGTATTATTTTCAATGTTTACTACCTTGCAGAGATGTCTGACAACTCACTAGACATCTGATGTATTGGGTTGAACTGAGTTTCTAGTTCTAGAGATTTGTCTGTAATGGTCACCAATTTCTACATATTTTAAAAAATGTATTCATAACATAAAAGACAATTCCTAAATACCTATAATTCTTTCCAGCCAAATAGACATACTGATGCCTCTGAATATGTTCTTCCCCCCAACCCCACTTCTGGAAAAGAAAGAGACCTGCTCAGGTTCCTGGTGTGGTTGACATGAAGACGGCAGAGGGAATTGGGATCTGAATCTTTGTCTTCTGCCTGATTATCCAACCAAAGCCCCCGCCCTGCCCCAACTATGAGTGAGCAGGCACCAGCTGTGACCACCATGCAAGAACAGTTCTAACTGAAGAATGTGAGGTTGGATTTTTTTAAAAATCTGGTCAGCAGAAAAGGAGTTTCTCAATTCTTTTGTCAATTTCACTAAGGAGAAATACGATTCTGAGACATTCTTTGAATTTCCAGCCCAGTTTCCTCTCTGCAAGGGCCCTGACATCCTCAGAGTGAAACCTGGTAGGCTTTTGCTTTCTGTCTGGCCCTTGGGGTTGGTCTGCAGACAGGGGTTCCCCCTTAGGGAGCCACTCAGAATGGCTAGATTTGGGGATGACTGAATTCAGCCTGAAGCCTATGAGCCCACCAGAGCACACTGTTTCGCTTCCATGCAGCTTCTAGAAAAGTCCCAGAACTGCAATGCAACTGCAATGCAACCTCACTCACCGCAGCCCCACAGCCTCAACTAACTAACCTAGAAGTCTGGCCTTAGAGTTCCCCGGGTGTTTGAGGTCTGGACATCTGCAATCCGTGACTTGTGCCTCTGGTCCTAGTTCGCACTTAGTCCTGTTCAGTGCCCACCGCATGCCCCTGCTGGCTGGGGACACACTCCAATCTTTTTTACATCCTATGTAAAGAAGTGACCAGCTTTGTTCTGGATACACACAGTGTGGATACACGGAGCTGCTGGGGCTGGCAAGTGCTTGCCATGGGGTCTCTCTAATAAGCACCACCTGAGAACCAGGTATTGGAGGCATAAGAGCACACACTCCCACTTTCAACAGAGAAATTCCACTCCGGGAAGGGGGAAGAAACAAAACAGCCTCCCCCAAGTCAGAGCAGGGCAAGGCAGAAACCAGCCACTCCTGGGTGATCTCACATCACCCGGACCTGCTCCGGCTCCTCTTCTGGCTTGGAGCTGGGGAAGAGGCACGCTTAACGCCCAGGCAGGCCAAGCTCGGGCAGGGGCCTTTCCAGGAAGCATTGCTAAGCGGTGGCCGTGGTGTTTCCTGGGAGGGCAGGCCTGGCCAGTACTTCTGCCATCCAGGCCCTTGAGTCAACCTGGCTGCCTTCCCCTCCAGCCTCCAGGCTTGTAGTGGGAGCAAGGACTCTGCCTTAGTTACCACCTCCAGGAGTCCAGCCCAGCTCCGGGTGCCTGGGAGACACTAGGCCCTTGTGGAGCCGGCTTCTTACCGCAGGAAGACCATGAACCCTACATCCACATGGCCCCAGCCTCCATGCCGCCTTGCTCCCTTTCACCTCCTGGGCAGCCTCTTGTCAGGAATGCACAGCTCTTGCAGGGCAGGGGTGGGGTTGGGGAGTTCTAGGTTCTTCCTTGACCTGGGCACAGTGGGTGCTTGGGGGGCGGTGGGAGGCGGGAGGGAACCGTTGTCCTGAGCAGCTTCCTAGCTGACACAACCTCCATTTTCTGAGGAGGCTGCCCCTCTCCACAGCACTACACTTCACACACATAAAACGCTCCCTATATATGTGAGGATATTTTAAGTCAGTGACTCTCAAACATTACTGTGCTAGATGCAGATTCCCAGGTCCTGTCTCCAACAGACTCTGGGTGGTGAGCTCAGGACTGGGCCTGGAACCTGCCTGCGAATGAGCTGCTCAGGTGGCTCATCGAGTGTCTGCTGACCTCAGCGAGAGGCAGCAGCTTAGGGTCCCCTCCCTCTCTGTACCTGGAGAAGTGGTAGTCTTCACAGACCCTCTCGGGAGCCCCCACCCCAAATCTGCCTAGAGAATCGCATGGAGAGCCCAGCAGCAGCCCTGGCCCCACCAACAGAAAATGAGGGGCCAGCCAGGGACAGCGGAACAAGGCAGAGACCCCTCGCCACGCTCACAGAGCTTCTGGCCCAGGAGTCCCAGCGTCCACCCTGGGAGCTTCTGCAGCGCCTTCTCTGAGGCTGCACCAGCTGTTCTCACGGCTAAACCCCAGTTGGGCATCCCTGGTCCCCACTTCTGCCCTTCATTGCCCAGGGCTGTGGGTGTTGTGGTCACAGATGGACTGACTTATAGGCCCTTCCTCTCTCTTCTCATGGTTGCCAACCAGGCTACTGCAGGTCCCCACAGCCCCTACGCCCCCAGGCTGCAGCTGCTCCGTCTGACTGCCCCACACATGTTTTCTGGATACCTTCAAGCTGCATCTTCTGCCCCTTCCCTGTGAAAAGCTGTGTGAGTTGAGGAACTGAAATCATTTTGTTTATATGTTATAAACACCCAGGTTTCTCACTGAACCCACAAAAACCTCAGATACTAAGGGAAAAAAAGTATCTAACCCTCTGAGAACATCTATGTATTCTGCGTTTAACTTTTAAATTCAGGGCCCAGCACAGTGGCTCACACCTGTAATCCCAGCACTTTGGGAGGCCAACATGGTGAAAACCCCACTTATCTACAAAAAATACAAAAAATAGCCGGGTGTGGTGGTGCACACCTATAATCCCAGCTACTTGGGAGGTGGAGGCAGAATCACTTGAAACCAGGAGGTGGAGGTTAAAGTGAGCCATGATCACGCCACTGCACTCCAGGCTGGGTGACAACAGTGAAACTCCATCTCAAATAAATAAATAAATTCAACTCAACAATTCAAGAGGTCTGGGTGAGAGCACCTGCTCTGTGCCAGGTGTGCGTGTATAGTTTCTGTTTCCTAATTATAAACTGAGGGTGGCTGCTTTGTCATTTTTGTCCCCCATGTGTATCTGAGCGCCGGGACAGCAGGTCTCACATGCGCGCCCGTCGGACACTCTACCTGCTGAGTCAGAATTTCCAGGGGAAGGTGCTCACTTGTATATGTATACATTTTATTACTGAAAATAATACACACGGTAAGAAAAAAAGCAAGCAGGTAAACATTTCCAACCTCCACGGGATTCTATTCTGCACTACGATGGCAGCCTTCAGCCTAGACCGTGTCCTGGCACGTGCCAGCTGCTCAGCAGGTGTTTGATGAAAACTCAGCATGGCCTCTGAGCTTTGTCCCTGGCCCTGACCCCAGCAAGGCATGCTTCTTCCACACACGGGATAGATTGTTTTCAATGAAGCAGAGTGAATGTCGTTCTCAGGTGTAGTTGCAAGAAGCCACACTCAGCAATGCTCTCTGAGGCGATTTCCAATAAAGGACCGCCTTGCACAGGGCAGCTAACACCCCCACGCTCTGAGGACCTGGGCTCCCCGAAATGTCCTTCTGCACTCTGCATTTAAATGCTGACTATTTTTTGGTTTTAGTTTCTTATGGGCTTCCATTCCAAACAACTCATTACAGTCTTGTTCAATTTCTTCTTTCTCATGTTCTAGTGGGTTCGTGATTAGACACGCCACGCCTCATAATGTTGTGCTTGGATAAGCAATCTGCTATTTTCACAGCTTCTTCAGGTTAATGCATCCGTTCCTCATAATGCTTCTGTGAGTCAGGCAAGGCCGTGGGATCCCATTATCCAGATGAAAACACAAAGCCCCTAGAGAGAATTCGTGATTTGCCAAGGCCAAGGCAATGAGTAAGAAGTACTGCTTAATAAATGTTTGCTGAATGCATATCTATTAATGCTAGAGTTTATGTAATGACATTTACTGATTTTTTTTCTTCTAATTATAAAGGTAACACATGCTCATCATAGGGAATATCAGAAACGTACAGAGAAAAAAACTAAAATTACTTGCCAGTCCAATCACAAAAAAAAACTTGTTTATATTTCCTTATAATTCCTATATATATTAAGATCCCAATGTACATCCAATTTTGTATTTTGCATATTTTCATTGAAATTGTATAAGGATAACTTTTATAAGCCATTAGATATCTTTGATATCAATATTTTAAGACGTTCTAACAACGTGGCGTTTACAGAAGCAGATTGCAAAGGTGATTCACGAGGACGTGGTGGTTGGCCATCTCTCTGGGATAAGTGGTCTTCAGCCGGGCACCTGCTGCCCCACAGGCTTTTGAAGAAGGTGTACTGTAGCTGTTGTGTAGGCAACTGATGTGGCAACAGTCGGCCCCGCTTCCTGGCTGACACGCTCTTCTCCAGGACAGCTTTGCTCCCCAGCAAGTGCAGCAAAAATTCACTCCAGAATCAGTCACTTGCCTCTTTCCGTGGGCATGACTTTAGAGCCATTGGCTTTAGAGCTGAGTTGGCCACCACCCTGTGCCTGCATGAGTGGAAAGGTATAGTGTAATTCATCATAGACGTATAGTGTAATTCGTGTATCCATTTCCCTCCTGGTATGCATAGAAATTGCTTCTACTTCCTTTACACTATTATAAATAACTCTATCATGAACATCTTCATGTTTATTTTCAAGTAAGGTTTCTATTTTGCTCCCTGCAGCCCTGTCCATGGGGGCCTATTTCAACTTCTTTCACAGTGAATTTTTTCCATCATTTTATTATTTTGGTTCTTCATGTTTATTTCTAAAACTTGACACAATGTAGAAAGACAGCTCCTAATTCTCTCTCTGTAAATCCAGACGTTTCAGAGCTTTCCTTCCAGACTCTTTTCTGGACAAAACATTTATAATGGGTCCAACTCCAAAATAGTATTCATGACAACCTGGAGCTTGAAGTGGGGAAAAACAAAACAGTGAAAACAATGAATGGAGTATGTCTTTAACTGAGAATGAGAAGAAGTGCCAGGAAACATGAGCATGCTGTTATTCCAGGAAGATGCCCTTCAAGATGGCAGGGTGGCTGGGCTCTCCTTGGGAGACCTGAGGGCAGTTCCAGCTTGAGCGGATTCTTTCCACTCATGCAGGCACAGGGTGGTGGCCAACTCAGCTCTAAAGCCAATGGCTCTAAAGTCATGCCCACGGAAAGAGGCAAGTGACTGATTCTGGAGTGAATTTTTGCTGCACTTGCTGGGGAGCAAAGCTGTCCTGGAGAAGAGCGCGTCAGCCAGGAAGCGGGGCCGACTGTTGCCACATCAGCTGCCCACGCAATAGCTACAGTACACCTGCTTCAGAAGCCTGTGGGGCAGCAGGTTCCCGGCTAAAGCCCACTTGTCCCAGAGAGATGGCCGACCACCACATCCTCGTGAATCACCTTTGCAATCTGCTTCTGTAATCACCATCAGTCTCTCTGTAGTCATAATTGTCAAAGTGTGCAAATAGTTATTAAAATATTGATTAAAGAAAACCAACAACCATTTATCATCATGGAAGAGTGGTTGTTAACTGCTTTTATCTCGGCAGAGCTTCATGGGGAGCTTGAAAAAGCTCATTGTTTGTGTGTTTTGAGCTGTAAGAGTTGGGAAGTGTGATTAGACTCAAAGGGCTCACTTTCATTTGTATTAGAGAGCTGGGGGGAAATCCACCCTCCGAGGTTGGGGGCTGAGCAGCTGTGCCTGCAAGTCCTGCTTCCAGATGCTTCTCCCCTAGAAAGTTCCTACAGCAGGGAAGAGGAATCTCTGATCTACATTACTTGAACTTTGTTTTATTGTTTGTTTGCTTTTTTTTTTTTACCACCAAAGTTCACTTGGTGATTTTTGCAAAATGCCATCCCAATCATTTTTGTTTTAGTAATGACTCCTTACAACCACCCTGTGCACTGTCAAGTGGAAAAACAGAATCATAAGGGCCTGAAATGAGGATCCCAAACAGAAGACATAAAACCAAAAACACAATTCTGAGTCTTTCATTGCTTTTGCCTGAATCCAATCTTTCTTTACTGATGGGCCATTGCTTTTCTTATATTAGAAATTCCTCCTCTCCACAAAATTGGATTCCATGTTTGCACCAGAGTCATTAGTTTTGTTTTCCTCTAGACTTGGTAACAGCTGGGTGTCAGCCCTCTCGATTGGCTACTCTTGTCACTGAACGGCCTACCTGTGGGCGCTCTGGGTGATCCATGGCTCTTGAACAGTTTCCCTGTGTAATGCAGACTAGCCAGGTCAGAAATGAACCATCAGAATACCAGGCATCTGTCAAAAGGGGATCAGGGGGACATGAATGTCACCTGGCTCAGAGTAATTATCAGCCATTTCTGGGAATGGCAGCATGTCGGTTGAGGAGTTTAGATCTATGCTGTCCAAGGTGCTGGCCACTGTCTGCAGGGGGCTCTTGGGCACACATATTGTGGCTAGATCTCAAAGATTTAGTACAAAAAAAGAGAATGTAACATATCTCAATACTTTAAATATCTTTACATATTGATTACTTTTCAAATGATCATACTCCCAATAACTGGGCTAAATAAAACATACTATTAAAGTGAACTTCACCTGCTTCTTTTTACTATTATACAGTGGCTGCTGGAAAATTTACCATGTGTGGCTTGCATGTGTGGCTCACATTATAGACTACTGGACAGCGCTGGCTTGGCCAATCAAAATCATTCATTGGAAATCAGGGGAAATTCACTATTTATCCCAATAAGGGTGACGGAAGTGAGAGCAGTCCCCAGTACTCTGCCCGGATTGCACAGCATGGGCCTCCCACAGGGGAGTGGCCGCCATTCCTTTGCTAGTCTATTTGCTTGGGAGCACTGAGCTGAGAGCCATCTATTGCTCACACTCCTCTCAGTGGTTACAGAAATGAAACGAGGAAGTCTGCAGATAGCAATGGACCCAGCTGACAAGAGGTGGACCACAAACCCCTTCCTTGTCTTGAAGTTATTCTTAGAGCTAAATTTGCAAATAAGGACAACCAAAGTCTTGCCCCTAAAATAACGTTTTGTTTTCATCTCATTCTTCCATCTAACGCATGCTGGACACATCTAACCAACGACTCACCTCTGCCGAATGTGAAAATCAACTGTGCACTTTCTGTCCATGTCTATAAAATCCATATATATTATAGGATGAGCCATTGGAGACTAAAATCCTAACATGGCAAAAGTCAAGTTTCTTTTCCCTTCTATCAGAACAGGCACCCCTACCAATCCTGACGCCTGGCAGAACCCTCCCAGAGCCACCAGCCTGGCACAGGTCCTCTGCCCGCCCGTGGTGCTGGCCCTGCCCCTCTGTTTAATTTGGCTGCAATTTCCCACTCTGCCCTGACCTAGTCACCACTAGCAAATCCTCCTCTCCTGCTACAGCGTGCGAGAGGCTGTGCTAGGCCCGCAGGTGCAATATTTCATGTCATTCTCCGAGCAGCCCGGCAGTTCAGGTGGTGCTATTTTGCCCCTGGTTCAGAGAAGGTGACTGCAGCTGGAGGGCTGAGCGGCCTCCCCAGGACACAGCCCGGAGTGGCATGGTCTGGTCCAGGCTCTCGGCCTTTCCCTCGTGGAGAAAGAGGACTGAGTCCTCCCTCAGTGTCTCTTGGAGGGATCCCTCTGCGCTCCAGTTCCCTGATACAGGCCTGGCCTCATCTCTAACCCGAGCCCCTCAGTGCCCGCAACTCTTCCTCCTCATCAGCCCCACCTCTCACTGGCTTCTCCACCAGAGTCAGCACTCTTCAGCTCGCCTGGAACCCGCCCGGGCCTGTCCTTCAGCTGGTGGCAGCCATCTCTTCCCCTTTCTGTCCCCACCTGTCACTCTGCTCCAGCCTTTGCTTCAACACCAGCCTCGTGTCCCCTGTTCCAGCCCCGGGGCCTCGGCTCTGAGCTGTCTCCCTGGACTCCATCTCTGGCTTTCTTGTTCAGTCTCACTCTGTACGTGCTCCTGACTGTGCTGTCAATTAGGGTAGGCATTTGTATTCCTTTCAAACCTTGTTTGACTGCCTGGATTCGAGACCCGTTCCGCCTGCTGGCGACAGGAGCTCCATCCCCTGGCACTGCCTTAACCCCTACCAAACAGCACAGTGAGGGCATGAGCTCAGCGGCCAGGCAGGCCTTTGAGCTGTGCTCTGCTGATTACTAGTTGAGAGGCTTTGGGAGTTACTCGTCCTTTGCGTGCCTCAGTTTTTCCAGCTGTAAAGTGGGAATCACAGTAGCCTCTGGCTTAGAGGGCTGCCGAGAGGACTGATGGGCATGTGGAACACACACACATGGGGCCCGGGGACAGCGAGCGCTGTGGGGTGCTGGCCATCCCCCCTTCCCACCCTCCACCCCCCACCCCTGTCCTCTCTGCTGGCTCTGCTTTCCTGCCTGCTGACGCCTGCCTTGTGCAGCTATGACCCACCACAACACGAACCAAATCCACTAATTACTCCGAGTACGCCACGCTTGGCAGCTGAAGACATCTAGCTGGGGTCCCCATATTTTCCTGTTCAGTCGCTAGTTTGTAAAATAACACCTCCCTTCTCCTGGTCTCTGCCGCCCCGCATCCCAGTACCGCCTCCTCCGGCCATTCATGGCCTGCGTGTCTTGTGAATCCAGCGTGCATCTCTGTCCTCCAGAGGCCTCCCGTGATTAATCCCTCCTGATCCCCTCCTAGGCGGACGGTCCCTTCAGCCCTCACAAATTCAGTTCACATTACAGCAGTGGTTCTCTACTGGGGGTGACTTTGTGCCCAAGGGGACATTTGGCAATGTCGGGAGATAATTTTTTTGGCACAATTCTAGTGGGTAGAAGGTGGGGATGCTGCTCAATACCCTGCAATACACAGGGGTGGGGGTGCGGGGCCCACAACAAGGAATTATCTGGCAACAGGGCAGGGGCTGTAAACCCTGCATTACAATAATCTGTCCTTGTTGATGCTGCTCTGTTTAAAAAAAAGAAGCTATCAGGGGTTGCACTGTGCGTGCTAGCCCTCCAGCTGGAATTCTTTTGATTCTTCTATAGCACCTAAGACAATACCATGCCTAAGATGGATTAACTGATAATGATTAATTTTCTAAGTAAACAGCTATCCAGGAACATTTTTCATTACATGTCTGGGATATCCTACGATAAAAAATAGCCACGTAAATGTTTGAAAAGTCTGTGTTCCTTGAGAGAAAAAATGGGGAATTCTCTTTGTAGTCACCAACCAAAAGTTTGTTCAGCTACAGGACAGACGTCCTGCTGCAAGGAGGGCCTGGGGGGTCAGGCAGCCTCATCAGCCCTGATTACGCAGACAAACCATTTGTGACCAGCTCCGTGTCTGTGTTCCTTTCTAGGAACATGAACTTTTTGTTGGCATTCACAAAATTAATATTATGTAAGATACGAAAACCTCATCATCTGCCTCTAAGAGAAACATGCCTTTTCTTTTCTAGAATGGAAGTGGCATTGAGGAAGGTGCATCCAAATGATGTAAAATCCATGTTGAGTCCTTAAGGGACAGCTGGGAAAGAGAGGGGCCCTGGAAGAGAACCCTGGGCAACCGTCACCCAGTCTGTCAAAGGTCTCTCCTAAAAACATGAGAACTGTATAGAGGAGAGAGAAGACCATAGCTCCCACTCCCACTTCGGGTGGCAGGATTGACACACAGGGGTGCAGGCACCCCTAATTCAGGTGGGGACTTATATAGAGCACAGGGGACTCAGCCTGTAACTGACCCTGCCCAAGAAGTCAACAGCTGAGGCAAGGCTGATGAGAGTCATAGGCATTCCTGTGTGATTCTTGATAGATCTCTCTCTGCAGAGTGTCACCACCATCACAGTGGTGATCACAGAGGAACAGCCACATCCCAAATGCCGACGTTTTTTTACTCGCTGGCTCAAAAAGCTTAGAATTCTTTCAAATGATCAAAAATAAAATAAATAAGATGGATACATCCGAGAGATTTCAGTTAAGTCTTTAGGTCCAATTCCTTGTCCTCTAAATCTGTGCAGTCCAGTTTGGGAGCCCCTAGTCCCGTGTGCCTATTCTACAGAGCTCTGGAAGTGTGGCTAGTCTGAACTGAAATGTACTGTGTGACAAAAGAACGTAAAATCTTCCATTAGTACTCTTTTATACCAAATACACATCAAAATAATATTTGGGATATTCTGGCTTAAGTAAAATATACTATTAAAATTAATTTACTTTTAAAAATATGCTTTTTTACTTTTTAAATGTCACTGCTAGAACTCGTGCCGTCTCGCCTACGGCCTGCCTTACATTCCTAGTGGAGCTGCCACTCATCGTCCACCAAGGGTGTTATATTTGGGTTTGGTGAAGGCAGCAGAAGATTTTAGCCCACTTCTATTCTGCTAATTTCTACTGAATGTAAAGAACCACTCCCTCATTCACTCCAGGACACTTAGACTTCGAGTTTCCATCCTTAAAGGAAAATGAAGAGATTTTTAAAAAGTGGACGCTCCAAATTGTGGTGGTATGTAACATGGCATTCACCCACTTGGACTTGTGTTTTCTCCTAGAAAGCTTTATCTACAGTTTCTGAATAAATGGTGTTCGCTTCTGTCTATCTATGTCAGCCAAGTTTTTTCTCTAAAAGCCTTGGAAGGTAAATTTGGACAGATGAAAATTATGGGGAATTTCTTCCTTACCAAACATGGTGGCAGGAAGAGCCCTCATGGGACAACTCCACTCATCCCGGTGGCACCTCCGTCTGCTTTCCCTGTCCTCTCTCTAAGTACCCGCTAGGCTCTGAGTGCTGCCCATGTCAGACTTTCAACTACATGGTAGCCATCAATCAACTCATGTTTGTAGGCAATGATTCTTAATCTCAGAACTTATCTACCAGAAACACAAAATAAACAGTTAATGTATCTCCCATCCTTACATGTAAGTTTTCCAGGGCACAGAGGGAAGGGAGATACAGCTCCCCCAGAGCAGGCTGTATTTCCCCCCAGCCCTCTCCCACCCCCCAGCATACGAGTCTAAAGTAAAGAAGTGAGAAAGGTCACCGGGAAGGCAAAGGGTGAGTTGGTTTGATCATGACAGGGGTTCGGAGGGTGATTATTATGGCAGAGTCTCAGTAATATCACAGATGTGCATGTGGACCCCAAAGAGGACACCTCAGCAAAGTCCTATTTTCACAGAGTGTGTGAACATGTGGATGACCTGAAGGCATCCGTGATAAGGAAGATCCCATCCTTGCCAAACTCTAGTCAGGCATCTCTGAGTGCTCTTCCCAGCGAGGCCCTGATTTGGGGGCTTCTATGTCTGTTTCTGCAATGCTCAATTTTAGCAAAAGTCCTGCTGAGTCGAGTTAGCCAGAACCCTCACCCTCAATATCTGATCCCCTTTGCTACTCAATGGGGCTCCTCATCCCCCACCATCCCCCAGGGAATCTCTGACCACCCTGGCCTGCCTTCGCCTGGAATCTGGTTAGGTTGGTTTAGCCAGAAGCCCCCTCAGCCCTGAGGCTTCCTTTTAGTAGTCTTCCATCCACTGCTCCCAACTCTGCTCCTTGGCTGTAAATTCCCACTGTTCCTTGCTGTATTTGGAGCGGAGCCCAATGCCTCTTCCCTACTGCAAACCCCACTGCACTGGTCCCTATGACCCTGCATGGTCTCCCTGAATACAGTCTGCCTTCATGTTTTAACAAATGTCCTGAATAATTTTAACAATGAGGTGTGAGAGGTAATCAGGGACAGTCTGAGTGTGTAGTTTGGCAGATGGCTCTAGGTTAGATCAGATTCCCAGTCACAACTCCAGCCACCAAAAACTTGCAGATGTGTATTATAAGGCAGGGTGTAGAAGGCTCCTGGGGCCGCTAGGAAACAAGCTGTCCCTGAGAGGCTCTGCAGGGAAGGCCTGGCTTCTGAGGCAGCAGCCTCTGCTCTCTAAGTCCCCTCCTGGGCTCAGCATGGCTGGGACTCTTTTCCATGCCGTTGCACCTGCTCAGTCTTCCCAGGTCAGTCTCCTCCCAAACAGGTCCCGCCACACCTCCTTGCCTTGGTCCATTTCCTCCGTCCTCATTGAGTCCTTTGCTTCCTTTTGTTCCTGAGCTGCCTTTCATGTTACCTCCACACTTGGAATAAAAATGCCTCCCACTTCCCAAGCACAAAGAGCTGCCCACTCCCCTGATTAACATCCTCCAGGGGGGTTTTTCTCCTGAAAAGCCCATCTGGCCTCCCCTCCTCCTCACGCCCAGCACATCCACTGCAGAGGGCTGTTCCAGAGATTATTGTGCCCAATGTGCCGCCTGCCCTGCCCTGCCGACTCTGCATGAAGGGTTTCATCTCTGGCTTCCTTCTAAAACCCAACTGACTGACTGACTCACTCCCTCACTCACTCAAAAGAGCTACCGTTCCATCATCTTGCTTTATCCTCCCAAATACGCCAGTTACACTACTAATGATAGTAATATTCCAGTGAGTCATTGAAATATCTTATTTTGCAGTACCTACAGTTTGCTTGTTGAATTTACATGGGTGTGCACGGAGCTTTGCATTTTAAAATTAACAGAAGACGTCATTTCTTCTGTTTAAGCAGTGGAACCGTCGAAATAATCCTCTAAAGTATTTAGGTTCCCAGATTTTCACAACCAAGCAAAGGAGAAAGAGGGATTTATTTCTAGAATCATGGAATGATAACGCTGGAATGGCTCTTTGCACTCAGTGGGTCTATTTTACAGACACTGAAACTAAGGCCCCAAGAAGTCAACACACTTCTCAAAGTCATAGACTAAGTTCATATGGCTATTTTAAATATGTAATAATAAGGAATAAGACGCTATTTATCTCACAGGCACTGCAGGGAGGGAGGTGATTAAACAGAACGCTCAAAGTAGAGGAACTTGTAGCTAGCAAAACTCCTGAAAATACGACAGTCCTGGGAGTTGCAGTGGAGAGGAAGCAGAGGCTATGCTGTAGAGGAAGGTCACAGGAGGGACGTGGAAAGGCCCCAGGGCTGTGCTTCTCACATTCAGGTGACTCACCTGTGGTCTTGTTGCAATGCAGATTCTGATTTACCAGGTGAGTCAGGGCCCAAGAGTCTGCATTTCTAATAACTCCCAGGCGATGCTGACATTACTCTTCCATGGGCCTCAGTTTGAGTAGCAAAGATTTAGATATTCTGTTTCAGGAGCCAGGAAGTTAAAGGAGGGCTATATATACCTGGACTTGGAACCAGACCCCATGCCAGGGTCCCAGGCCTGTCACTGATTGGCTCTGTTGTCAGTGGGTGGAGTTACACCTGTCTCTGAGCCTCAGTTTACTCATCTGTAAACCAAAGGAGTTGTCCAGGGTGACCTCCATGACTGCTGAGGTCCCTTTAAGCTGGAATGTCCCATGACTCAGAGCCCTGCAGTGGCCAGCACCCCAGGAGGAAGGGAGGGGACACGGAAAGCTGTTGTGAGAGATGGACAGACCCACAAGTCATCACCTCTCTTGATGCCCTTGGCTGGGTAGGGGTGGGCCTGGAATTTTCACTAACATGCTCCAGACCACTCTCTCCATGCTTTGACTGTATTCTTGAACCATGCATGTGGTCCCAAGTTTTCCATCCTCTTCATGCCACTTGGTCCTTTACTCCCCACTACACCACAACCTCTGTGTTCCTTGCCCTCAGGATGACCTTCTCCTCACCCTGGTTATGCCATCATCCTTCCCCTTCCATGGCCCTGTATATAAGAACTGATTATAATCACAGTATATTCTGTGTTTTAGCAGAGCATGTCAACATTGCTGTACGCCATCATCGTGCCAGCTCAACACAAACTCTAAAGAAAGTGACATTGGTGCAGTAAGAGAAAGATAGACTTCCCCTTACCTGAAAGGAAGTGGTATCCTGGCTTTAGGGAGGAGTTCATCAATTCTACAGAGGAGATTTCACATCTTTACACAGGTACACAAACTACACAAAGAGGGACATTCAGGAGGGGAAACACTGTGGTCGCTAGAATCCCTATGTGACACCATGGTCTCTCTAGAGTGTCTGTGTGACACCATGTTCTCTCTAGAGTGTCTGTGTGACACCGTGTTCTCTCTAGAGTGTCTGTGTGACACTGTGGTCTCTCTGGAGTGCCTGTGTGACGCTGTGGTCTCTCTAGAGTGCCTGTGTGACGCTGTGGTCTCTCTAGAGTGCCTGTGTGATGCCGTGGTCTCTCTAGAGCGTGTGTGTGACACTGTGGTCTCTCTAGAATGCCTGTGTGACACTGCAGTCTCTCTAGAATGTCTGTGTGACACTGTGGTCTCTCTAGAATGCCTGTGTGACGCTGTGGTCTCTCTAGAATGCCTGTGTGACACTGTGGTCTCTCTAGCGTGTCTTGTGATGCTGTGGTCTCTCTAGAGTGTCTGTGTGATGCTGCGGTCGCTAGCTAGAATGACTATGTGATGCTGTGGTCTCTCTAGAATGCCTATGTGAACTTAGGAATTCACACTCCTAGGCTCAGTGCAGGCTGAGCACCAAAGTGTGATCTCATCAAGTGAAATAACCCCCTTCTCTCAATTTCTCTTCCTGTAAGGAGGAAAATGCCACTTTCCACCCACAAAGCTCTCTAGAGGACCAAGAAGACAATTCTGTGAAGGACGTCCACCAGGAGACAGGAGCTACAAGACAGCTTTCTGGAGCTGTCCTCCTAAGTCCCCATGCCAATCAGTGTATAGTAATGTCGCCAACTTCAAAATCACGGAAATATGTTTGCATCAGACAATGGCTTCAATTCCAACACATGGTACATTCCCACAAGTTTGGATTTCCATAGGAAGAATAAATAACACTGGCTTCCTTGAATGTCCTGGATGAAAACCACACATCCTTCCAAATCCTGTGGAAAAACATCTCTGGCTCCCTCCTTCCCTTAGAATCAGACCCTTCAAAATCTTGTGGTATTTCCCCAAATACCATAATTTTGAGTTGTGACATCTGGTTTCCAGTTCTCCCAGGCTGGGGTTTCTTGTTAAAGGGACATCGGAATCTCGACATCCCGAGCTGCCACCCTGACCTTGTGCAGGAGTCTCACTGCCCCACTTCCTGGCATCCATGCACTCTAGATGGTTCTGGCACTTCCCCCAGACAAGGAAGCTACATTTTTTTCTAGGATGTACCTTTTTAGAAGCCTTTGTCTCTTCCAGAAGGTATGTCCGGCACGATGGGACTCCCCCACTCTCCCTTGCCTCAAACATCACGGAACATCTAGACATCAGTGAGCGTCCCACTAGAAAAAGGCCCCTGAATCTTCAAGAAGCTCCAAGAGGGGAGTTAGATTGTCTGGAAATTCCCCGAAGTTCTTCCTGCTACACCCACTGGAGCCCAGGATTTGAGAACCAAGCCCGCCGGCCGCGGCATACTAGGCTCGGCTTTCTGTTTCGAAGCTCGAGGCTGTACCGGGGAGAGAGGATGTGGTCCATGGGAAGGGGAAGTGCCACTGCTCCAGGGAGCCAAGCATGGCTTCCTCAGGGCCTGGCTCCTCAGGCAGCAGGAGGTGGGCAGCACTGTGCAGCGGGTAAGAGCACACGCTGTGATATCAGATAGGCAGGTGTTGGACTCCCAGCTCTGGCCAAGTGACCTCTGGCAAACCCCTTTCCTCCCAAGCACTGGCATCCTCACAGGTATAACAGGATACAGATGGTGGGCAAATGCCGCGGCCACATCCTACACGGGGAGAGACGCTTCATCAACAACAGCCATGAACACTGTCTGGCCTGTTCATCAGGGCCCAGCAGACCCATCACACAGACACATGGTAAAAGCACGAGGAATATTTCATTTCATGGTCACAGGTAAGTGCTTAAGCTGGTAGTGAAGGAGGAAGCCCAAAGGCTACTGAGGCGGCATCACAGTGACGGTCAAGAACAGGCCAGAGGCTGGCTGCAGTGGCTCAAGCCTGTAATCCCAGCACTTTGGGAGGCCCAGGCGGGCAGATCATCTGAGGCTGGGAGTTCGAGACCAGCCTGACCAACACAGAGAAACCCCATCTTTACTAAAAATACAAAATTAGCCGGGAATAGTGGCGCATGCCTGTAATCCCAGCTACTCGGGAGGCTGAGGCAGGAGAATTGCTTGAACCCGGGAGGCAGAGGTTGCGGTGAGCTGAGATCGCGCCATTGCACTCCAGCCTGGGCAACAGGAGCAAAATTCAGTCTCAAAACAAACAAACAAACAAACAAACAACAACAACAACAACAAAAACAAGAACAGGGCGGAAAGCAGCACGGAGGGAGGATGGGAGAGGCAGCAAGGACCCCCACACCGGCAGGTGCAATCCATTCTGCATGGACCTCCATGGCCTAGTCAGAGTGCGTGAGAGGCTGAAAGGGCCACTGCAAATAAAAACGACACAAAGCATGAATTGTGGTGATATTGGAGGTGAGTAAAAAGATGCAAATATGAATTGGGGGAAATGTTCAGAAAATCTCACCTTCTGAAAAGAAAACTGGCAAAAAGCAATCAAATTAGCCACCTTTAATGCCTGCTATGTTGACCCTGCCAGATTTTTTTTTTTTGGGGAGGGGTGTATATTCAACAGTATGGACAACTAGTATACAGTACACAAAGCGACTGCGCAGTGTATGAAGATTCAATCACAGATCAACCACAGCCAGTAGACTACTCATTAGGCAAAAATCAATGAAACCAAATCAATGAAACCATCAAATTTTAAAGCCATTTTATGGTGAATATTGACAACAGAAAATGAAATTAATACTGCCTTAAAAAAACCCAACAAAAAGACCCCCAAAATTGCATATGGTAAAAAATCAAATCACAAAAAAAATTTTTCTTAGTAGAAATAATAGTTCTATAAAAAATTCATAATGGCAGCTTTCATAATACTGATTGGTGAAAAATCTTAGTTATAAATTTTATGCAGAGAAGAAATGACTCCAATAAAAAGAATTTTAGTGAAATAACAATCTAAATGAAAACAATTGGAAATAATTTGTGCGATAGAGAAAATTATGGTCTTAAATTGACTTAGTCTTTTCCTCAGAAAGCATCTTCTCCAACAAAAATCCATTAGTGTTGTTAAAATTCCAATTAAAATGTTTCTACTCTTAAATACAGAATTAAGATATCTTTGATGCGGGAAAAGCCCAGCAAGTCAAATCAGTGGGTCAAAACTTCCTGTGGTTGTGGAAGTCTTCCCAGGGGATGCTCTGTCTAGGATGGGGTGGAACTGTGTCCCTGACAAATCCAGGCTTTCCTAGGGTCAGGAAGTTGCTGTGCTGTGCTTTCTAGAAATTTCCTCGAGAGACTCTTTCAAGGATTAATTTAGGAAATAACAAAAGATAAGCTTTACTCTTAGTAAAGTGATTGGTTCTGCGTACTACAAGAAAGTTTATTGGGTGATGACCGAAGATAGGGGAGAAGGAGGGAGAGGGAGTAGAGGAGGAAGGAGAGAAGGAACACACACACACGTGCACGTGCGTGCACACACGGGTGCATCTACTCTGCCTGGGGAAGTGGCATTCTACCTCGTCAGCAACATGTACAGAGTGGAGGTAATCGGTCTTCAGATTCTGCCACAACGCAAGTGAATTTTTAAAAGCCCACCAGCATCCTTTGATCTGGTTCCACCCTTACCAAGCAAAGTCCATCATGTATATGGTATCTGGGTTACTGTGGCTTGGAAGAGGCGCTTCCTAAATCACTAGCCTTGCTTTGGGAGCCAAAGCTCACATTTCAGCTCCTCACTCACTCTCCGCATTGACTTCCTTAGTCTCAGCATCGGGTCAGGACGGTGGAACGGGTGGGAAGAGACGAAACCTGTGGAATGTGAAATACTTTCCCCTATTTTGATCCCTGGAAAGGTCTATCCCTAATAGAAATTCAACACTTTGATCCTGTGATTTCTAGTACAGTTTTTGTCATTTTTTTCTAACCCCAAATCAGTTGCTTACGATCAGATCATCCTTGGGTGAACTGTAAAAACTGAGTTTCTGAAACTGAAGTTTCCAAGCAAGCCTCCAGTGACCCCAGCTTCCCTGGCCCCCTGCTGCTATTCTTTGATGTCTTTTTAGCTGCACCCTAAGTCATCGGGAACATTCTTTCAGAAGAGAGAAGTGTAAGGCATTTCAAGAGCCTTGAAACAGACTCTGAAGCCCAGAGCCCTCCTCCTCCCCACCTACTCCTCTCAGAAGTTTGAAGACAGGGGAAAGCTGTTTAAATCCTTGGCAAATCTTCAATAAATTACTCAGATGGCTGATTCCAAGGGGCCATTATGGGCTTCTATAAGGAAGAGATCTACAACGGATAATTAGAATGAATAACTCTAACCATAAAAAGTTTCCAAATCTAATTGTTCATTTTTCTTTCTTTAGCCAGATAGCACAACATAAATGTGTTAAGATTTCATTGAAACAACCTTATCTTCCAAAGCCAAGTAGTATACGGGAGGACTCCTTATGAAGGGTTAGATCAGTGATGGAAATGAGCCCAGCTTGCAGGTGCCTGCACCCCTTCCTCAGCCTGGAGGAGGTACAGCTAAGCTGGCAGGCAGCGGTCCCAAAGACATTGTACCAGCTCTGCCATTTATTCCTGTCACGCTTAGGTAGCTTTTTATGAGAACGTACATTTGTAGAAGGTGGAGAGAAAACTGAGTGGGAAAAGAGAAGAATTAGACAAAACAAAAAACGATCATTTACTACACATCTACAATGTGCCAGGCACTTTTCCTATAATTGCTAATCCTGAAAAGAACCTCAAAAGATCCATGCCATTACTCCTATTTCACAGATAAGAACACAGAGGGATAGAGTTTAGAAAACTGCACCGCTCACCTAAGTCACGCAACTAGAGAAAGGGTGAGCCAGGATTCAAACCCATGTCTGAGGCCCTCCAAAGCCCTCTCCTTCCTCTTTTCCTTCTGCTTCTTCCACCCCATCTTTTTCCTCTCTCCCTTCCCACCCTCCTTCTACTTTTTTTTTTCTTTTTTTAGGGGGAGTCTCCCCTGTCGCCCAGGCTGGTGTGCAGTGGCGTGATCTCGGCTGCAAGCTCTGCCTCCCGGGTTCATGCCATTCTCCTGCCTCAGCCTCCCGAGTAGCTGGGACTACAAGTGTGTGCCACCACACCCGGCTAATTTTTTTTGTATTTTTAGTAGAGACGGGGTTTCACTGTGTTAGCCAGGATGATCTCGATCTCCTGACCTCGTGATCTGCCTGCCTCGGCCTCCCAAAGTGCTGGGATTACAGGCGTGAGCCACTGCGCCCGGCCTCCTCCTCCTTTTTTTTTTACATCTTCATAGAGGTATAATTTATGTACCACAGCAGTCACCATAGAAAGTGTGCAATTCAGTGACTTGTAGTGAATTTATTGCATTGTGCAACCATCACCACGACTTAATTTTAGACCATGTTCATAATCCCAACAAGCTCCCTCATGTCATGTGCAGTTAACCTGCACTCCTACCCTCCCAGCCCCAGGAAATCACTAATCTCCTTTCTGTCTGTAAAGATTTGTGCTTTCTTTGACATTTTATACAAATGGAATCACACAGTACATAGTCTTTTGTATCTGGCTTCTTTCCCTTAGCAAATGTCTTTAATGTCCATGTTGTAGCCTGTATCAATACTTTTCTTCCCTTTTATTGCTTCATGGAATCCAATTGTATGGATATACCACATATGGATCATCAGTTCATCCTCTGATGGACATCTGGGTTGTTAGGTTTCATGCAGCTATGAATATTCATATACAAGTCCTTGTGTGGACATATCTAGGAGTGGAGTTGCTGGGTCATATAGTAATGGTGTTTAGCTTTTGGAGAATTCTGAGAAACTGCTTTCCAAAGTGGATGTACCATTTTACAATCCCACCAGTAATGTACAAGGGTTCCAGTTTCTCCAAATCATCACCAGCATTTGTCATTGTCAGTCTTTTTGATTAGTGCCATCCTAGAGGGTGTGAAGTGGCATCTCACTATTCTATTTTTTGGTTGTTGTTGTTGTTGTTGTTGTTTGACACAGAGTTTTGCTCTGTTGCCCAGGCTGGAGTGCAGTGGCACCATCTTGGCTCACTGCAACCCTCCGCCTCCTGGGTTCAAGCGATTCTCCTGCGTCAGCCTCCCCAGTAGCTAGGACTACAGGCTCGCACCACCACACCCTGCCAATTTTTTTTATTTTTAGTAGAGATGGGGTTTCACCAGGTTGGCCAGGCTGGTCTCAAACTCCTGACCTCAGGTGATCCTCCCACCTTGACCTCCCAAAGTGCTGGGATTACAGGCATGAGCCACCGTGCCCTGCCTCATCCACTTTGTAAGAAAGGCAGAAAGTCTGTTCCTAATCGTGCTGATTTTGCAGATGCACCTGCACTAACCTGGAGATGGGGATCACTGCAGGAAACTGCATCACCCCCAGTATGGGAGCTGGGCCCTTGCACTGAGAAGAGGATTTTCAAGTTACCTGCTCATATATTGTAGGCATAAACCATACAGTTTTGAAGGAAACTAGGTTTGACTTCCCTCTCTCTCCTCAATGATATGAGGAGCTGGAAAGAACAAGGTCTGAAATCTGGAAACCTGGGTTCTAGGCTCCAGTTCTGCCACTTTCACCCATTTAAGCCCCTCTTGGGGGCTTTGTTTCCTTATCTGTAAAATGGGTGTAATAATAAAGTTTTCCTTACTAGGTGGCTTAGATGTGGAAAAAAATGCAGTGATAGCCATGGATGGGCCTGACAAACGATTAAAGTGCTACAAAATGTGAGCCTTAAAATTATGCACTAGCATGCCCTGTCTTGGAATCCCATGATGCAGGGGCTAAGAAAGAGATTGTCTGCCCACTGCTGCTTCTCCCTCCCCCTCCTTCCTACCTCAGGACACAAGACAGCTGCAGTCTAGCAGATGACACCACACACTCCACACACTCCCATTTTACTGCTCCCTTTCCAGGCAGCAGGGATGAAGGATGAAGGCAGATGTCGAGAGAAGGACAAAGCTGTGCTTTAGTACTTGGGGAATGGTAGGACCAGAATAGGCACTTTTCAGCAAGATCCACAGCTCTATCTTCTTACACTGTAGACAGGGAGGTCCCTCCAGCTTTAGTGAAGGCTGCAAAGGAAAGTCCATAGAATAGGAGGAATCCTGGAAGAGAATTATCTCTGCCAAGTGATTTTTCAGGCCTAAACATTATGTTCACACCAAGTCATCACAGCTCCTCTGCCATGCTTGTGAAATTTACCAAAGCACCACAGCAAAGCTATACATTCACAATCACAAACTTTTAAGAGCAAGAAAAAGCACTCCTTTTAATTAAAAAAAAAAAACTGTAAAAGTTTGTTGTGTAAGGGATTAGGATCTGTTTTAATATCTTCAAAATGGGTTGTAATAAACTTTAGTATAGGTTTTAATATCTAAGGAAAAATAAAGCTATTCATCTCAATACATATCACAGATACATGTTTATTATACCTAAATAAAGGAAATTCTCAATCCTGGCCTGGATAAACAAGAAAGCTGCCTAAGATGTAACTTTCCTAGATTTATATCATGGAAACTGGTCATGCTCCAAGGATTGCAAAAGGGAGAAAGGGCAGCAACCTACAACTGTAATCTCTCGGGGTGGAGGCTGCTTAGTAGAGTGGAATCAAACACTTGGGTTTCAAAGAAACATCAGAAGCACAGCTCACACTGATGCTTTGCTCGAGTGGGCCTGCAGTCCTGCCTCCAGGATACCTGTCCCTCCAGCCTTATATCCCACCTCTTCTTCAGCTCATCCTGCCCACCCAGCGAGCTAAGGAACGCTGACTTCTGGCCTCCTTCCTTCCCAGCGCTCAGCTCCTCCTGCACAGCCCTCGGCCTGCCGTCCCCACTGTAGCTGGGCCCAGGCGGGAAGTGACCAGAGGCCATGGGCAGACTTTCAGTGTTACCTATTTGCCTTTCCAGATCGGCGGCTTCATCAGGCGTGGCTCGTGGGAGGACTCCGGGGTCGCTGAAGCTGGTGCGGAGCAGGGTCCCCATCACAAAGAAGAACAGGATGCCAGCGACTGCAGGGATGGCAGGGGTGATTTTCACCGCCAGGTACGGACAGCTGCCGACAGGTTGGACAGACCGGAGAGAAGGGGAAAAGAAAGGAAATACAATGTTAGGAATCAACAGTAAGCAGTCTTTATCTTCTAAGAAATCAAAAGCTTATTTGGAGGAGAGAAATTGATTTCCATTAAAAATTCATCTATGTGAAAGATTTACGTTTGGGGAGGTCTGCAGTTCTGTCTTACAGACAATTGAACCCCCACTCCCCAGTATGACGCCCAAGCCCTCTGCTCTTACAGGAAGATGCTGGCAGAAGAATGAAAATAGTCCTGCTTGTATAATCAGTCTAAGACGCACAGAGCTTGTATAAATAGACACGTGTCCTCTGTGCTGTAAACACGGTTCGGGAGTCTATGAGATCCCCCTGCCCTCCCCTGGGATTACATAACAGAAGAAGACACCAATTTAGAATGATCTTCATGAGAGCCAGCCTTTCCCACTTGGGTCAAATGACTCGGGAACTTTCAGCCAGCACCAAACGCTGAGGACTGTACACACACTTTCAAAGGGCAAGAAACCAATTTTCCATGTTCTGGAGGTAATCTATTCCAAAGTGAATGAGCTATGGAAATGGACTTGCAGGCAGGTTTCGGAAGAAGATTTAAGGGATTTCAGCAGCTGGAATAGAATCATCTCATGCTTTTCCAGAGGGCATCTGAGCTATCAATGGATGAACATGGCCCAACTCTTAACTCGACCTTTTCACTGCTGTCAGTCTGACATGCTGACGTGAAGCAGGGATTGTTATGAGTCAGGGAGAAGTGCCACTGGGACAGACTAAACTCTACACGAGCCAGCCTGGGAACCAGTGTCTGACATTTGGTCTCAGATCCAGGTATTCTAGAGCTGGAGCAGTTCTTACCGTGGCCCCTTGATGCAGTCAGATGCCTGGACCTAAGTGAAGGATGGGATCTGCAGTGACCACAGTCAGTCCATTGTCGCCACATTAAATAACATCATGGGCATTGGGGAACATGACGCAGAATCACGGAATTAGGACATCTGGCGTGGAAAACAATGCTAGATTGCCCACCTCATCAGAAGATTCTCTTCTATGTTCTCAAGACAAAACAGAGATGGGGAGCTGGAGAAGAAAGGATTGGGAAGCTCAGCTCTGCTCAAGACTAGGAAGCAGACAGGGCTCTTGGTCTTGGAAGCCCTGGGAACCAGCACCCCACTGCTGTTCAGGTCTCTGATGGATGGCAAACGGATGCTGGCACGAGTCTGGGACTTGAGAGCCACAAGCCGTGATCCCCTTTGCTGAGACAAGTGATAGAACATTAGTGCACCAGCCTTCAAGAGGCCTGCAGACCTAGACACAGCTTCCTGGAGCAATCGCTGATGTTGACAATGTGGACTGTGGCTGTGCAAGTTTCCTAGCATGAGGAGATGTACAGCGAAGTATTTAGGAATAAAGTGCCATGATGAATGCAGCTTACTCCCAAATAGCTCAAAAAAATATTGTCTAAACAGAGCAAATGGGATCAAGTATTAGCAAGAGGTGAATCTGGGTAAAGGGTGAATGGATGTTCTTTGTACTACTCTTATTCTTGTAACTTCTCTGTAAGTTTGAAATTATTTCCAAATAAAATGTTAAAAAAAGAAACACAGTCTACATTGAAGGCATGAAATTACCCTGGTATGAAATTATATATATATATATATATATATACACACACACACACACACACACATACATACATATATATCTATATATGTTATATATATAAACCCTGAATACATATAATTTTAGTCTAAAATAATCTACTTTAGGGGGAATTTTTTGTTACAAAATGGTTAGGGAAAAGAGCAACTGTGTAGAAAAGAATTTTCCAAAAAAACTTAAATTCACAATTCGACATAGTTTGAACAATGGCAGTGAGTAAAACAAGCCCACGTTTTTCCCCCTTCTCAAGATTAATGAATTTGAAGATGATGTTGGCACAGCAAAGCCAGTTTCAGCGAGGGCACAGCTGGACAACGTGAACCAGACAGACCCGGTTAGGAGAGAGTGTTCCACCTCAGGTGTTGACAGCTGTGATTTAACTCTATGGAGCTTCTCCAAGGATGGCTACTTGTGAATGGCCAGAACCCTCCTGTGAGGGTGACTTAGTAGATCTTAGGCTTTGGTGTGCTTATTTTTTCCTTTTTGGGTCTGAGACGCAGCTTGGTGGACCGCAAAGTCCACCTGCTCAAAGTTGCAAAGGCTGCCTCTTGCTCTTACAGCAAGTTCTAGCATGCTTTGCCCTCCACCGTTCCCTGTCCCAAGTGCACTCTCTGCAGGGTTGGGATCTTCCACAGCCACCCCACTTCCCCAGGCTGATGCCTCTGCGGCCTCTCATCACCTCCACCCCCTAACCAGGATGTCCCCTGCCACACTCTCACTGCAGGGATAATACACTGTAGATTGGTATTTGCACTTGAGCACACACTGATTTGTTCAGAGCCATCCCAGAAAGGAGGAAAAGGCAAAGTCCAGTTGACGCGGGGAGGCCTACTGCCTGCCGGGTTCTCTAACTGCGTAGTGGGCTGTTGCACTTGGACAAATCAGGGTATGGATCCGAAATGCCTCTGTCTGTGTTTCCCTGGGAACCTGCTCCTGCTCCTGTCCCCGCAGGAAATCTCAGGCAGGTCTAGTGACTTCTCTGATGATAATATGAAGGTAATAGGAAGTCCTTGTCGCTTTAAGTAGCAAACAGTGCCATTTAAGCAAATGAAAGAGTAATAATCCCAGTGAATAACGGTAACTTCTACCTTGATGTGAAGTTAAGCCCCCTCCACTACCCCAGCTCGCCAGCTGCAGTTTCTGGCCCCTCCACGGTGGAGAATAAAGCAGGTGAAGTAGAGAGGGAGGCAGGAAAGAGCCTACAGGAAGAGTTCTGTTACAAGGCGACTATGTGCTCTGGGTCTAGGAGATGGTTAAACCGGCTCTACCTAGACTCGCATTGGTGAGTGCTTTGGACGCCCCGGGGGAACCTAGGTGCATGGCCCACTTGCAATGTCTTCCTCTTTCCCTCTTCTTAAATAGAAACGGCCAGCTTCCTCCCACTCAGGGACTTCCTTCCACGCTGTTTTGCCTTCCAGTCCCTCCTCTCAGAAGCCCTCTTTGTCTTCTCTCCGGGGGACAGCTGGAACAGTGATCTGTTTGTTTGTTTATTTATTTATTTATTATCTTTCTGGAGACAGGGCCTCACTCTGCTGCCCAGGCTGGAGTGCAGTGGTATGATCATGGCTCACTGCAGCTTTGAACTCCTGGGGCTCAAGAGATTCTCCCAGCTCAGCCTCCTGAGTGGCTGGAACTACAGGTCCTCACCACCACACCTGGCTAATTTTTTGTGTGTTTTGTAGAAACACTTTGTTGCCCAGGCTGGTCTCAAACTCCTGGGCTCGAGTAATCCTCCTGCCTCAGCCTCCCAAAGTGCTGGGATTACAGGAATAAGCCACCACACCCAGCCTAGAACAGTGACCTCATACCTGCCTACCATGATCCCCTCCTTCAATCTGTCCCAACCACCACCGCCAGCTCCAATCACACGTGTCTCTGCTCAAAAGCCCTCCATGCTTCCGCCGTTCCTACCAAATGAAGCTCGAGCTCCTTATCTGGTGTCCAAGTCCCCCACAGTCACCTTCTCTCCCTCTCTCTCACTGCCCCCTCCTGAATCCCAGCAATGGCCACACCTAACATTTGGGCGTCTCAGGCAGGCACCCGCTTTCACTCACCGCCAGCGCTGCCTGTCCAGCCCACGTGTCTGGAACACCCGCACCTCCCATTCAGCATGTTGATGCTCCCAACTTTCCAGTTCCAGCTCAATACCGCTTCCTGAAAAGCCTTGGTAGAGTTTCTGGGCTCACCCCCTAAGCAGAAGGGATCGCTTCTTTCTCTGAACCCCCACCGTGTTTTTCTTTGCTCCTCTCCTTGGACATGTGGCTATTTGTGGACATGCTCCATGCACCTCACTAGATTAAAAGTCCTGGAGGGTGAGACTGGCTCCTGTTCCTCTTTGTGTCCTTTGTAGCACCTAGCAGGATGCCTCGCATGATGTAAAATGCAACTAAGTTTGATAAATATTTGTTGAGTAGCTGAATGAATAGAATCCATTTAGTGAATTTTACTGTAACACCTGAAAGAGGAGGAGAGTCAAGTCACCCATACCCTCAGCAACCACAGACCTGGTCTAGAACTTCTCTACTTTTGTCAGCTCGCTAGGTCCTGTAACTTCCTTCAGACAGATGCTAAGGCCCAGTTCCTTCTGCGAGGCTCCCTCAGCTGAGAGGACAGGATATTCCTCAGCTCGCTGAGCCGAGTGTGCCTCATGTTCACCTTCTGTGGGCATTTGCTGGAACCTCTAAGACCCTCCATGTGCTAAAGTTCTAGTAGATGCAGCACCATATGTTGGTACAACTCTGTATAATGCTAGGTGCTCTGTGACAGTCCCGTTCCACCAGCCTCTGTGTGTGACAGAGGACAGTGCTGAGTTTGTCCTAGAAATCCTCAACAACTCACTTTTTATAAAAGTGGCAGAATTCCCAACCCTAAACAATGAGGTCAGGGCTACTGAGACACCTTCAAAATGCTGCTTAGAAAAAGCATAGAGCATCTGTAGTCCTTGTGGTAAAGACAAGGCAATAAGCAGACCCTGCCCATGACTGTGAATGTTAACCTCCTGAAGGAGGTGAGACTAATGGGACATCCCAGTTGACCCACAGACTGGCACGGCTTCACAGCTGAAGGAAGCACTGTGCACAGTATGGCAAATTCTTAGTCCGAGCTCAGATGACTTGAAAATGGCTCCTCCATATTTCTGAGCAACTGTGGATGGGAACTCCAATGCTGAGTGCCATCTGTGTTGAGGAAGACTCCATCCCCAAGGGCCTGGATCTGATACAAGATGATGAGGCAGCTGCCAAAGATATAAACACCAAATGGAATCCTATTTCTGTCTCAAGAATTGTGACCTACATACAACTCAGGGCAGTGTAGCAAACAGGCTACAGGCATCTTAGTCTTCATAAAGATTAACTGGAAAGTGACAGGGGGAAAAATAAGAATACATCTTCATAACATAAAAGAAATTAGCTAATTTAGCACCGGATACTAAAATGATGAGAAGCCTTTACAGAACTCTCCCTCCAATCATATACATCAGCAAGAGCTGTTTGATTTTGGATATGATGATAAATACCTATGCACAAACTGCCAAAGCATTGTACATTAGAGGTACAGAAATTCATTCCAGGTAATAATTAGAAATGTAGCACTGCCAAAAGATTATATGGAATTTTTTTCAGTTCAAATAGCAATCTCTTTGAATCTTTAGTAAAAATTGTTTTTGTGCATTGATGTTTATACATGAAAAATGGAACTGTTTTCTGGGCGCTATATTATCTGAGACCACACAATCAGAGTGCATCCTTCCTCTGCTCAGAACTAAATATTTGATATTGGTCATTAAAAAGATAGATGGAGCCGGGCGCGGTGGCTCACGCCTGTAATCCCAGCACTTTGGGAGGCCGAGGCGGGCGGATCACGAGGTCAGGAGATCGAGACCATCCCGGCTAAAACGGTGAAACCCCGTCTCTACTAAAAATACAAAAAATTAGCCGGGCGTAGTGGCGGGCGCCTGTAGTCCCAGCTACTTGGGAGGCTGAGGCAGGAGAATGGCGTGAACCCGGGAGGCGGAGCTTGCAGTGAGCCGAGATCCCGCCACTGCACTCCAGCCTGGGCGACAGAGCGAGACTCTGTCTCAAAAAAAAAAAAAAAAAGATAGATGGAGGGATAGATAGACAGACAGACAGGCAGACAGATAGATAGATATAAAATCATTTTAGCATCAAACAGACACTGACATCCCAGAATCAATACTGTCATTAATTCTATATTCATGTTTAGAGACTGGCTTACAGGTTAGAATTTGACATAATGCTGATTCCTTGAACAAAACCCCTAAGACTAAATTAATTTCTTAAACATTTGGATAAGAAACATGGATTTCATTATTGGGTAATTAGGTCACTCTGTTTTCCAGAGGACATTCTTTGGGAGAAGATTAACTTAAAAACTAAACAAAACAAAAGAACAATATTAACAAGATATAGCAGAGACATTAAAACCAAGTGCCCTTTGGAACAAGAAGTAGAGAATCTTTTCCTGTATCAAAACAATTTGAGTCCTCTTTTAATGTTTTGTCTATAAATGGATACACATAAAAAAAGTTTGTTAATAGTAGCTCATGACTCCTGACTGCAGCAAATGGCCTACATTTGATATTTTTGGTCTGTCCTGTACGTATGAAAGCATAAACATGAGAATAACTGTTTTTTAGACATAACCACGAGGCATACATTTATTATTACACAGGAAGAGGAAGTGGCCTTGCTGCATTATTGCCACACTCCAATCCAGGGAGTTGCTACTTTGCAGAAATCACAAAGTAACCTAGCATTTTAAGTTTCAGATTCTCGATTGCAAAGCATTTCAATAATAAGTAGCTAAGGCAAACAATCATAAATGAAATAACCTGAGCCAATGACTCACACATCTGAAATAATCAGAGTAGCATTGTGAGAAATGGAGGTTTTAAGGGTTGCAATAGAAATGACCCCTTTTCCTTTTCAAATGAGTCACTGCAAAACAAAGGTACTTTTCACTTACAGGCAGGAACATAAGCACCATTCATTTTGTGATTTGTTCCTTAATCACATACTTAGAAATAAATCTACCACCACAAGGCAAAGATGAGCGCATTACTTGGAGACAAATAGAGGAAAAAGTAGATTCAGAAATCATATCCACTCACAACTCCAGAATAGGAAAAACCAAATAGATGATTTCATAAAACTCCCAAGAGTGACATTCCCCTACAAGATCACGATGGCAGGACCCCGTGCCTGGAAAGCACGATTAGTGACTAATCGTGTTAATTACCCCAGACGCACAGAGCCAGGAGTCTATGCATGCCTGTATGAAGGGAGGGAATTTAAATCAATGAGCCCAGGGACTAACGTGGAAAATATGAGCAAAGCAAGCTGGAAGGAAAAGCTCAAACCCAGAGAGCATGGAGGTGACAGTAGAACTCCACATACCCATTTGTAGACTACAAACTTGATGTTCAGTTTCATCAAAGCTCAACAGCTCTTTTTCACACGCGTCTCTCTGTCTACCTTTGTCGGGTGAGAACTGTAGCTTTCAGGCTTGCTAAGGGAGGAGGAAGGTGAAGGTCACCCTACCGAGTCGAGGAATGTCACTTAGGAAATCTGGTTTTTCCCTACAGGACTTCTGGCTAGATGCAGAGTTAAACAGGGATGTCTCCAAACACAGCACAGTCTTGCCTTGAACCTGCAGAGTTCATGAGTGAGGAGAGGGGCTCCAGGCTTCAAGCACTTGCGTGAACAGAGAGCGGAGGAGGGGAGACAAGGAGAGTGCTCTCTTCTGCCCGTGGGGCCCAAACACCCTCCAAGCATGCAAGACAGAGTTAGTGTCCTTACTCTTAACTCAGGGCCTCCCAGACCACCCAGAGAGGTCTACTTAAGATACAGGACCTGGGAATCTGTAGCTTTATAATACAGGCTTCAAATCATAGTGTGTAAACAGCCCAATTTACTCATCTACTATTGAGAATGTACAAGAGCTTACTAGTGAATATTGTGGTGCATCAACATTTTTGCCAAGTGATTCTGAGTTGCATTTAAAATTCCAGGAAGAGGCCGGGAGTGCCTATAATCCCAACACTTTGGGAGGCTGAGGTGGGCAGATTGCTTGAGCTCAGGAGTTTGAGACCAGCCTGGGCAACATGGCGAAACCCCGTCTCTACAAAAAAAATACAAAAACCAGCTGGCTGTGGTAGTGTGTGACTGTAGTCCCAACCACTTGGGAGGCTGAGGTGGGAGGCTGGCTTGACCCTGGGAGGCTGAGGCTGCAGTGAGCCAAGATCATGCCACCGCACTCCAGCCTGGGCAACAGAGCCAGACCCTGTCTCAAAAACATGAAATGAAATGAAATGAAATGAAATGAAATGAAATGAAATGAAATGAAATGAAATGAAATGAAATAGAATTCCAGGAAGCCAGAGGCTTCTGGGTAGCATGTGAATCATGGGAGGGAAAGCCAACACTGTTTTGCCCCAAAAGTTGCTCTTTAATGTCCAGACATTACTTAGGCATGGCAACCACATGCCCCAGATTTCCCATTCGAGTCCTGGTTCAGGTGAATGTTTTGTCATTTTCAGACCATGTGTGGCTGCTGAGCTAATTGGCCAAAGTAACTCCATTTTGCTTTCTGTGCATCCTGGAACCGTAAGGCATCGTCAGGGCAAGCCAGGGCCCTTCCGAGAAAGCTCTTCCTAGAGCTGCTGGTGTGTGTGCTGGGAAGACCTGCACATACCAAGCGTCCAGGGTAGTGATTTGGGATTTGTCCTGGCACTAAACAGCATTCTAAGGTTTAGCTGCCTCTGACCCTGGCTTATATTTGAAGGGTGTCCATTCTGCCTCCCTTCTGGAAACTCTGTATAGGAAAGTCATAGCTCTATTCATAATTCTTGTTTCATCCAATCTAAGGTACCCCACATTTTAAGATGTATCATTAAGGGGAAATGTGCCAAATCAGATAATATTCCCTAACCACAAGGGATCTTTATTTCATACTTATTGAAAGAGTTATTATAGACTTAATTAGACACCAATTTAAAAATCATATATCATTATTGTGCATACATTTTAAAAAATGCAAGTGAACTAAATTGGCCACAGTATTCCTAAAACATCTCCACATTTAGAGCCTGAGGCAGAGGTGTCTGCTTGAGGGCTTTCCACGTTGCAGCCTCCTGAGCCCATCAAAGCATGGCCCGGCTCTTCTGCTTCCCCCTAGGCTGCACTCCGTGCCCAATGCACCAGCTCAAGCCAGAGCACGTCCCTCCTCTGCTCAGAACTAAAGCCAGGTACTTGCCGAGGCTACAAAGCCATCTGGCTCCTGTGACCTCTTTGACCTCATCTTCCTCCCTCCTGCCGACCCCTGCAGCTCTGGAACAAGCCAGGCCTGCCTCTCCTCTGGGCTTTTGCCTGTGCCTTCCCCCTGCCTGGAACTCCCTCCCTACAGGGAGCCATAGAGCTCCTCCCAGCCTTTGCTCAAATATCACCATCTCTGTAGAGCCTTCCCTGACTGTGCTGCACACAATCTCCAAACTGCAGCCCTCCTATGACCAGCCATCCCGTCTCCACCAACCCCAACCCCTTCCAGCTTTTACTCTTCCCATAGCACTTATCCCCACTTGGCACACTGTTAATATATATACTTCCTTGCTTACTGTCTGACCCCACTAGAAAAAAGCTCAATGCAATGAGGACGTGTATCTGCTTGGTTCACTGATGTAACCTCCAGTGCCTAGAATTCAGTCTAGCACATAGTTGACCTTACAAT
The DNA here is from genome assembly GCF_000001405.40 of Homo sapiens. NCBI lineage: Eukaryota > Metazoa > Chordata > Mammalia > Primates > Hominidae > Homo > Homo sapiens. Next base: position 157,533,170 of record NC_000006.12, on the reverse strand, counting down.
AACTATTTGTTAGATGAAATGAAGAGACATCTAAAAAAACACAGGATACAAAGTACAGCGGAGACAATCCTATTTGTGTTTCAAACACATCTATATTTGTAACTAGAAGAATGTGCCCCATTATCTCATTATCCCTGGGTGATTTTCTGCATATGTGCGTTTTGGTGGTTTCCAAATTTTCTTAATTAAAGCATGGCTTATTTTTGTAGTAGAGAAATATGTTATTAAAAATAAATGCATAAGTACTTGTTGAACTAAAAAAGAAGATAATTGCCGAAATATTAAAATCTGCCTGTGCTTTTAAAAACTCAACTATCCATAAAGAAGATGCTTGACGATAATGTATATTCTCTGTTGGATTGAAACCTCAGCGGGCTGAAGCTCTTGATTTTTGCAAGTTGTCTTACAATACCTTAATTAGTCTAATTGTTTTGGGGTATGGAGGATCATACATTTGAGAAGGCAAAACCCAGGTTATCTCCTATCTCAGCTCTGGTCTGTACCCAACTTCTTGGAGGAATGTGACTAGAGAAAGTTCTTCTGTCATCCTTGCAGATTTCTGTCTTAAACTGGGTATTTATTTAAAGTACAGGACAAGGCCACACATATAGGGCCCAACTCCCCTCAGTTCCAGCAAGCCCCCTGGAGATCCGGAATCTCAGAGGCCTGCTAGATTCCCTTTTTCTTTCCTTGGGTTGCGGGTGGTCTAGGGATGGCAAGATGGGAAAGGAGGCGTTCAGGAATGAGAAAGAATCAAATGCTATACAAATTAAATCTCCTCAACACCGGCAATGTTCATGGAATTGAACCCAAACGCTGGATAGCTCATCAGTGAGCACTGTTTGGCAATGAATTGCTCAACAGAGACATTTTCAACAAAATATGAATTAGTTTAATCATTACATGTTCAAGAAAACCTTGTTGGAAGGAAAATGCCCTGCCTTGTTTCAGATTGCACACTGAACACCACTGAGGCTCTCCTCCCATCCCAAGGCCCTGGGGCCATCAGGCTGCCTGCTGGGAGGTGGCCCAGGGGTGTGGCTGCTGGTGCCACCAGGAGACGCCTGCTGTGCCTGCTCCTCCTCCCCCAGCGGCTCCTTCCCCAGTGCTTCCATGGCCAGGGGCCCCACACTAGGGCTTCAATTGCTCACCCAGGGTGGGCAGGCAGTGAGCACAGCTTTACCCAGGACTGGGGCCTCTGCCAGGGAGCTGGCACCCCCACGCCCATCCCGCAGAACGAGGCCAGGCCCTCTGGGACAGTCACACTGCACAAAGTCCAGATGTTACCGCTACGGAAAAGTGTCTTCGGCGTTACGAAGATGCAGTAACTCAAGGCCTTTGGGGAAAAGGCACATTTGAGTCTTGGAAAGTTTTTCCAGAGCTGGAGAACAAGTCTACGAGTACCGTGGATGCAGGAGATGACTGAGTCTCCTTCACGCCTTCATTCAGGCACTCGGCACACAGCCACTGAATACACACTACCTGCCAGCAAGCTGCACCATGTGCTAGGAAAGCAGGAAGATCAAGACAAGACCCTCGCTTCCTGGCAGCTCACATTCCAGTGTGGGGGTTGGGGGGTGGGGCAAATCAGCACACTACAAACAAAAGAGCAAGTGTGGAGACACAGGTGTTGAGGAACGGTGGAGGGAACCAACTCAGTGGGCCGGAGCGGGGGGTGTTGGTGAAGCCTTTCTGGAGGGGGTGTCAGAGGCAGGAGTGAGACCTGCAGAGAGGAAGGGTGTTGGCAAGGACAGGGAGCCCCAGACCCTCCCTGACCCTAATGTTTCCAGGCCTCCTTCGGACGGTGCACCGAGTGACTGGCGGAAGCACAGTGTAATCCTCCCTGGACTGGACTCTGGAACGGCATGTCCGGGGGGGGCAGGGGCGTTGTAGGCTGTTTAGTCACTGTGGCATCCCCAGTGCCTCACACACTGCTACATGATAGGCACTCGACAAATATTTGCTGAATTGAATGTTGTGGAATCATCAGAGCAGACCCGGGACATCTGGGTCCACGTTTGGTGGCGAACTGCAAAGCGATGGGTGCAAAGGTCGTCATGCAGGTGAAGCAATGAACACCGAGAGGGACCTGAGCAGACCCCACTTCCGTGTGCTCCAGCCTCTGCTGACAGCGCTCCTCTGAGCTAACGATCTCTCTCCTGGGGGAGAAAAAGGGCCACCTTCTTTCTTTTGCAAAGTAGGAAGAATTTCTAAGTAAATTTTGCTTTACAATGTTTCCCTAAGAATAAAGAGGAATTGAAGATTTTTTTTTTAACATATCCGTCATCATAAACCTCAAGGAATTAGATAATATAGGACCAATACAGGTTAGAAATATCCAGTCGTTCAGACAGAGACACATGTGAGTGCAGAAGGCTAAGCTATTTCACCCACAAACTCACTAAACAATGTTGTTTCCAATAGCAGAGACATCATAATTTGAAAAATAGTACATAATAATTATGCAAAATGGAAATAAGGTGCTTTTGAGTAGAAAAGAAAAAAGGCTACAAAGGTATTTCAGGAGAAAATGGTTCTATTTCCAAAAAGGGGAGAAATAAAACAAGGTTAACAGCTTAAAGCCCACGAGCCCTGTGACACCAAGTTGGAGACTATCAGGCAAAGACAGCTTCAAAAGTGCATATTTGGTAGAAAAATGAACAAAATGAAATTCACTGAAAGTCTTTGGATATTGGGTTGCTGTTGGGGCTGCCGATTCATTTTTTCCTTCTCTAAAGGGACACAGCATTCATTCACAGATGATTCCTTTATCTCACCTAAAACAATGCCCGTGGTATCGACTATTATCCTTGGCAAAGTGCCTTTGCATTAAAACATGGTGACAGCATTTCTCGGCCCTGATGTTGGGGAGAGTTCCTACCATGTAATTATCCAGCTCAATTAGAAGACAAGGTCAGAACAAACAGATCCAGAGGGAAGGTCCATGCCTGCTAGACACACAGATGTGGTCCCACATCATTTTCTTTTTTCTTTTTTTCTTTTTAGGTAGCCTGTTACTGTTTCATACACATGGTTTTCAAAGTAACAGGCAGCCAGATAGTAAGACTGCAGGGAGCAAATGAAAATTCACATTTTTTTGATTGAGTACCTATATTGCAGGCAGTTTCACATATAACATTTCATATAATGTCTACAGAAATGTACACAGCTAATTGTCTATGACATTGGTATTACTGAGACCATCTCACAGATGAGGAAACTAAGGTTCATTAATTTGACTGATAAGACTTATAAGAGGTTCATTACTTTGAGCCTGGTTTAGCTAATAAGTTTCATAACCAGAAGTCAATCAGATGTGGCCGCCATCAAAGCCCATGGGCCCAAGGCATGGTCTCTCAATTGTACCACAATGAGGCCTACACTTCTGTTTTGCACTCTACACATTTTCTTAGTGGAATACAATAACAGCTGTACCTGTTTTCACCTTTTTATAAGGATCTCAATGATCCTCATTAAATGTAATTAAGAACACAGTGAAACCTGAAACTATTCTGCGTGAAGGTGCCTTGTCCAGTCTGGGGAGAAGACAAGCTCGGAGTCTTGGGTGACAAAGTCGCTCATTGATGGATTGCCAGCAGTCTGGTAGTAACGCCTTAGTGACTGAAGGTCAAGAACATTTCTCTTGGGCTCCGCTTCCCAATTCCAGTTGAAGAATAACAAGCTCTGTGGTTTCTACACAACAGAAACCACAGATTCCCAGGGGCCCTGTCAATCAAGCTTGACACTAAATGGTGATGACTGCTCCTGTTATTGCAAAATACATGTATACTAAACAAAGACCGTACTGGTTAGTTTTGCTTAAATACTGGAGGATTCTGACCAGTACAATGCTAAAACATAAACTTTCATTTATGAAAAAAGATAAACTTTCTAAAATTCCCAGGTTATACTCAAGAAGTAACTTGCTCCCTGTGAAGAGAGGGTGGGGTTGCAGAGACTCCAGAGATCTCCACTTCTGCAGTGTCAGTGTGGAACTGTATCTATTGCTCCAGTATCCACTCCTGACCAGCAGGAATGGCAAAGAACCTCAGAAGAGTACAGGTGGTAGGTGCTGAGTAAAACTGGAAGTCTGAGTGTGTCTCCTAGACACTAGCAACTACAAGGATATACTTTCAATGAAACTCTTTGAACTCATTGGGAGAAACCTGAAAAATACCATGTGCTGTTGAGGAATTAATGCCCACTCCCACCCCCAGTCTTCATCTAATTATGCTTTTATAATTAATTAATTAATGCCCACTCCCACCCCCAGTCTTCATCTAATTGTGCTTTTTAAATTAATTAATTAATGCCCACTCCCACCCCCAGTCTTCATCTAATTGTGCTTTTTTAATTAATTAATTAATGCCCACTCTCACCCCCAGTCTTCATCTAATTGTGCTTTTTAATTATTTTATTTTATTTTATTTTATTTTTTTGAGATGAAGTCTTGCTCTGTCGCCCAGTCTGGAGTGCAGTGGTGCGACCTCGGCTCACTACAAGCTCCGCCTCCCGGGTTTTTGCCATTCTCCTGCCTCAACCTCCCGAGTAGCTGGGACTACAGGCACCTGCCACCACGCCTGGCTAATTTCTTTGTATTTTTAGTAGAGACAGGGTTTCACCATGTTAGCCAGGATGGTCTCGATCTCCTGACCTCGTGATCTGCCCGCCTCAGCCTCCCAAAGTGCTGGGATTACAGGTGTGAGCCACTGCGCCCACCCTATCGTGCTTTTTAAATTAATTGATTAATGCCCACTCCCATCCCCAGTCTTCATCTACTTGTGCTTTTCCAAGTATATTCATCTATGGTTAAACTTTCATATCATTTCTTTACTTTTCTTTTAAGCCACACACTTCTGAGATTAAAAAACAACAACAACAAAAAAACTGTTCAGCTCATTTTGAAATACAACAGAAGTATTCCTGAGGACTTCCCCATGGCAAACACGATTATTAACTGATTACTAAAAAGAGAAGGGCAAAAGGCAAAATAATGGACATTAGATCTAGGGAAAAATGGTGGAAACAACCTTAAAGAATACGGTGGAGAAACATCTGGAAAAAGCATATTTAATTAGAGAACACCAAGAGGGACTGAAACAAAGGAAATCATGCCTGGCTGGCCTGATGGAAGGCTTGGAAGGTGTGACTGCCATGAAAGCTACAATCAATTAAATAAGTGCCACCTTTCTTGAATTTTGCCAAGCAGATGGCAAAGTTGGAGAATCAACAGGGAAACTGCAGAGTGATACAATGGAGAGAGAGAAGGATCAGAAAGCCCCTCCTACAGCTACATCCCTATCCCTCTTAGGCTTGCGTCATACATTGTCCAGTTGGCTTCAACATTCAGAATAACTGGAGCCCTAAAGAACTGTCAAGTTCTGAGAACAGTCTTTCCATTTCCAGAAACAACTTCCTGAGAGACCGTTACATGGCTGCCAAGAAAACACTGCTTCATGTTTAAAGCACTTGTGAAACTTGAGGTCAAAAAGCAGAGGTCCACCAAGCAAGGCCACAGAAAAACAGCTTGAAAATGCTCTAGCTGAGCCTATACGCTCTGTGGCAAAACCTCGTGACTGTAGTGCTTACTCTGGGCAGTTCTGGAAGGCTTTTTCTACCAGAAGTTTCCATCAGTTGAGGTTTTGACTCTTACTCTCCCCTGGGTGGAGACTCTGAGGCTGCATGGTGCAAGATGAAAGGACTTCAATATTGTCTGACTATAAGAGCAAGCTCTGCAAAGCACTTTTTTGAAGAGATTTTTGAATGGAAAATCTGGGTGGGAAAATAGGAAAACAGGTCAGTTGAGCAAAGGAATATCAACTATTCCTGTTCGCCACATGAGCTGAGAATGCAGCCTCTCCTTCAGAGTAGAAACAGGAGCTGGGGAGCTCCTGGAGTCGATGGGAGGTGCCCAAGTCTGGTAGGAGATGGGGGCACTGATGCAGCCATGGCCCCCCGGCTGGTGTAATCTGCTTTCAGGCACCCAGTTGCAGGGTGGCTCAGCTGAGGGTCACCAGCTTGCAGCGATAGAAGAGAACGTTGGCCTTACCTACGGCCATGGTTTCACATTGTGTGGGAGGATCCATAGATTCTCAAAGGGGTCCTGGACCCCAACAGTATTATAAACTACTACTCTTAGGAGGGGAGGTACGTAATCAAGTACCTATTCAGAAGCACACTCTGAGGCCAGCTGCTAAAGATGCTGCCCCAAGTCCTTCAGTGCTCCCGGCCACCATCCACTGCCCCGGCCCCTCTCCCCACATCCCTAGAACCTCTCTCTATGAGCCAGCAAATAAAAATTAACATCTACCCAGGTCCCTGGTCCAGCGGTTGGTGAATAATCTGGCTGTCCACACTGCCCTTCAGCCTTCTCAGCCGAGCCCTGGCGCACGTGTGTCAGTCCATTCAGAGAAGATGGGTTCCCACAGTCGCTGAAGTAGGCAGGAGCACAGAGGCCACCCTGAGACTAGCACAGACGTAGGGCCATGTAGGGAAGCCCCTTCCTAACCCACGAGCTTGAGGGTGGGCAAGACTCCCAAATGTGAAGACACTCGTGTGTGAAAGAGAAAAACAACCCAAGGCTAAATGAGAGAGTGAAAAGAAGGTTCTAGAAGAGATACAAGAGAGGTACTATCCTATCCCTAGCTTTGTCTGGAGTCTACAGAACTTTACCTTGTCAAGACCGAGTAGACCAACGTTTAAGACAAGAACCTGACTCACTTCCATACCAGGATAATCTGGGAGATGGGGACAGAGGCCACCAGAAGAGGGTCGTGGTGTTGTGGGAAGGCCTCAGGCACTGGGAGTGGACGCCGGGCACTGGGGCACTTACTCCAGAAGCCTGGGAAAGTCCCTTATTCTGAGTCTTCATTTCATCATGTGTTAAATTGGAATAATGTCAATTATAGGTCATGATAGTCTTATTGTAGTGTTGTTTTGAGAATTGATGAGTTAGCATCAGGGAGACCCTTAGCAAAGCCTCTAGGTAGGCAAGAGATAGTCCATAAATAGTATTTCCTTCCTGCTAGGAGAGCCAGTCTTGTACTCACCTGGATTTCTGGTAACCTTCACACTTCCCTGCTGTTTCTTGTTTTGGTTTAGTCCAGTGGGTTTCCCTGAAGTTTAAAGTGAAAGCTTATGAGCATTCTGTGTTTGGTTCAGAGTTCAGTGGAGTAGGAAGAAGTTTGGCTTCAAAGCTCAGAGAATAATTCAGGCAGAAGAGTGATCAGTTTATCCCGGCGGAGAGGACAGGATAGGCAATTCCTGAAAAGCCCATGAAAGAAAGAAGTCTGATGGGGAAGGTGGAAGCAGCTGGAAGCCAGTAGCTGGCCCTGTGGTTTAATGGTAGGAAGCCCTGTCCCCTCGCAGGCATCCAGCAGCAGTGGGACGGGAGGGAGCAATGTTCCCAGGCCTTCTGATGCCCAGAATCATTTTATATGAGGCCCTACAGGGAAGAGTCACTCCACAATACGGTAGGGAGCCTGCTGGATGCTTCCATTGATCCCTCCTCCTGGTTTTCACACTCGCCTTGCCTGGGGGCTGGGACTAATGACTTGCTTCTAGAAAGTGGTCAAGGTGGTGGGGTGTCACTTCCAAGATTAGGTTACAAAAAACACTGCAACTTCTGTCTTGCTCCCTGCCTCTGGAGCTCTCATTGGCCCTCTCGGAGGGAAGCCAGCTGCCATGCTGTAAACAGCCCAATGGAGGCCAGGTGCAGTGGCTCATGCCTGCAATCCCAGAAGTTTGGGAGGCCGAGGGAGGGGGATCACTGGAGCCCAGGAGTTTGAGACCAGCCTGGGCAACATGGCAAGACCCTGTTTCTACAAAAGAAAAACCTTAAAAATTAGCTGGCCATGGTGATGCACGCCTGTAGTCCTGGCTACTCAGGGGGCTGAGGCAGGAGGATCGCTTGAAACAGGGAGTTCAAGGTTGCAGTGAGTTATGATCATGCCACTGCACTCTAGTCTGGGTGACAGGGTGAGACTCTGTCTCAAAAAAACAAAAAACAAAAAACAAAATCCCAGCCCTATGGAGAGGCTCACATGGCAAGGCTCATGAGGGTGGCTTCTGGCCAACAGCCCCTGAGTGAGCTGAGAGGAGAATCCTCCCCGGGCCCAGTCTTGAGATGATGGCAGCCCCAGCCATATCTTGATTGCAGCCCTGTGGGAGACCCTAAACCAGAGGACACAGCTAAGCCACATCCAAGAAACTGTGAGATAATCAATGCTTGCTGTTTAAAGCCACTGAGTTCTGGGGTCATTTGTTACACAGCAATAGCTCACTAACACAGGTGGTTCTGTCAGGCACAAACTAAACAAAACTACAGACATCAAATGAAATGGGATATTCTTCTGATAGTGAATAGAACAGAATCACAGGGAAGGGAATAAATCCCGAATATTCTTTCTACCTACAGTTTCCTCTGATTGGCCAAGTGGTACACAGGTATTCTTCTAGATGTAAGAAAACCTTTTAAATTATTAGTTAAGGCTCCGTCACGGATTAACTGAAGCTTGGGTCACTGCTCCATGGTCTAAATGACTATGTTCAAGGTGATGTGAAAGTTTTACAGAAACAATGACCAAGAAAATTTGTCTTCTTAATATGTAAACAAAGATATGTAAGAAGCTAATATGGAAAGAGAAAACGTGTATATGTACAACCACATGCCACAGAGAGACTTAAAATTAAGCTGGTGAGCTGAATAACTAGTATCTATTAAAAAAAATTGCAAATATGCCGGGTGTGGTGGCTCACGCCTATAATCCCAGCACTTTGGGAGGCCGAGGCAGGCAGATCACCTGAGGTCAGGAGTTCGAGACCAGCCTGGCTAACATGGTGAAACCCCATCTCTACTAAAAATACAAAAATTAGCCAGGTGTGGTGGCACACGCTTGTAGTCCCAGGTACCGTACTCAAGAGACTGAGGCAGGAGAATTCTTGAACCTGGGAGGTGGAGGTTGCAGTGAGCCAAGATCACACCATTGCACTCCAGCCTGGGCAACAAAGTGAGACTCCGTCTCAAAAAAAAAAAAAAAATTGCCAATCAATAGAAGTGAAGTCTGTTTATTTGCAATAAAGTGAACACAAATAAACCATCCTAGCATTTCCTAAAGATCCCCTTAAATCTCTTCCAGCTGCATTTCTGTAACCCTGTGTTAGATACCACCAACCATCTAATTTTTGTCCTATTTTATTTCCTAAGAAATATTTTCATACTTTTTACAAAATAGTAAGAGAGAAACATTTACCAGTGAGTCTTTGTTGTTGGAGACAGGGTCTTGTGCTGTCACCCAGGCCAGAGTACTGTGGTGAGATCACGGCCCACTGCAGCCCCCATTTCTTGCGCTCAAGCAATCCTCCCACCTCAGCCTCCTGAGTAGCTGGGACTACAGGCACGCACAACTGTCCCTGGCTAATTTTTTTCCTTTTTTTTTTTTTTGTATAAGCGAGGTCTATGTTGCCCAGACTGGTCTCGAACTCCTGGGCTCCAGTGATCCTCCCACTTCAGCCACCCAAAGTGTTGGAAATACAGATATGAGCCACTGTGCCCAGCTAATCTTTGTTTTTTAATGAATTTAAAGTATATTATTTCCCCAATCAGGCTATGCCAACTTTTATGCCCCTGTGGTCTGACATTCTTTTGAGTGGCATAAAGAAAGAAGAAATCCGCAAGTCTGTGTGGTGGAGTTTGCAAAGCAGCTGATGAGACACCTCTGATATCCCTCCTTCCAGTGTCCCATTAGAACCCTCAAGAGGATACACAAAAAGGAAAACAAAAAGTCAATAGCAATGAAGGCTGAAGAGAAGAGTGCTTTCATTAATATACTGGTGATGGCGATGAACTGAGAAAGACATTTTTGGATCACACATCACGTATTCAATATATCATAAAACAGAACAAAGCAGATGGCTCCTGAAGGGCAGGAAAGGACCTTAACAGAAGAAAAAATTTAAGTGCCCATTAACTTCACTAATAATCAAAGAAAGGAAATTAAGAATAGCATTTGTAGATTCACATTGACTAATGCCCCTAGGGCTATAGAGAGAGAGAGATCCCATTCACCCTCTTGCTGGTGGAGTCTGGAGATCAACACAGCCGCCCTAGATGTCTGTCTGGAAATAAGTACTCAGAGCCAAAGTTTAAGGGAAAGAAAAGAAAAAGAAAAGAAAAGAAAAGAAAAGAAAAAGAAAAGAAAAGAAAAGAAAGAAGGAAGGAAGGAAGGAAAGAAAGAAAGAAAGAAAGAAAGGAAGGAAGGAAGGAAGGAAGGAAGGAAGGATGGTAGGAAGATGGGAGGGAGCAAGGGAAGAAGGGAGGAAAGGAAGGAAGGAAGGGAGGGAGGGAGGGAGGGAGGGAGGGAGGGAGGGAGGGAGGGAGGAATGGAAAGAGAGATGGAGGAAAGAAGGGAGGGAGGGAGGAAGAAAGGGAGGGAGGGAGGAGAGAAAGGAAATGAAAGGGAAGAAAAGAAAAAAAACTTCTTACAGTGAGTAGGCTTTTGAAATAATAAAAAATCAATTCTTATATTATTAATATCATAAAAATTTATAAAAATGGGTCTTGTAGTTTTGGGGACCAACCCATACCACTAAAAGTTTGCTGTGCTTTCTGTTTCCTGAGCCTGTATTTCCTATGTGAGTTATTTCTCTACGATCATAAAAGTGGGAAATAGGGAAAAAAACAACAGGGACCACAGGCAAGATTCCATTTCCCCCACACTTCACCAAAAAGCTGGTGTGAAAACCAGTGACACACTGTCCAATCCAGGACTGTTTGTGAACCTAGATGTACCAGTTTCTCATTAGCATTTACTTTTGAGATTACGCATCAAGTCTAAACTCCAATTATTTGATGATAGAATTTCTCAGTTTTAGTTGTGAAAGCCATTTTTATCTAAGTTTGGCTTTTGACATAATATTTGTATCTAGAAGGGAGGAATGAATATACTGCACAAAACAAGTCCAGGAACCTGACACAAAGGTTGCATTGAATTTTCGTGGCAACTGTACGGGTAGGTATTGAGGTCATTGAAGGACGTCATTCAGCAATTTGTCTGAGGTCTTCTCAGTCCTAAGTGAGAAGGGCAAATTCACCACCACTCATGCTCATGTTGGGTGTCTGTATAACCAGCTTTGTACTTTAAAAAAAAAATGCAACTTGTTATATACTTAGCAATTTTTCAGTTTATTTGGATAAGAGACCGTCTCAAATGTTTCTCCTTTATTTGATGGCCTTCGAGTTTCTAAGCAAGCATTCCTAAACTGTTGATGGGGAAGCCTGATCCAGTCAATCTAGAAGTCAGAGCTGCTCCTTGGTTCCTAGTAGGAGAGAGATGTGGCTAGAAGCCATGGCCCAACCAGAGATTTCACAATGAGCACCTTCCTGCCCTGTCACTGCTGAATTCCCCCTTGCCAGGAAACCATGTCATAGCCTCTCCTCACACCAAAGAAGCTGCTATGGTCCTAATGTTTGTGGTCCTCCCTCAAAATTCATCCTAACCGCCAATGCGATGGCATTAGGAAGCAGAACCTTCAGGAGGTGATTATGTCATGAATGGGGTTCAGGCCCTTGTAAAAGAGGCCCCAAAGAGCTGCCTGGCCTCTCCCACCATGTGAGGGCACAGCTAGAAGGTGCCATCTTTGAACCAGAAAGTGGGTCCTCACTAGACACCAAATCTGCCAGCTCCTTGATCTTGGACCTCCCAGAACTGTGAGAAGTAAGTTTCTGTTGTATGTGAGCTACCCACGGCCTGGTATTTTGTTGTAATAGATGCCTGAACAGACGAAGACAGAAGCGTCCTGCTCTAAAGCTAAGGTGCAGTGTAGAAACCACACAAGTCCCTCACTCAAGGCTGCTTCCAGAATTTTTTGAGCCCATATTGTGTGATAAGCACTGTGCTGGAAGACCCAGACTCCAAACGGAGCTGTAATGCCTGACTCCAAACCAAAACACAACAAAGAAAAGATCGAACCAGTGTGGACTCCTGATTCTGCCTCCAGGGTCCCCGCTTCTCCATCTGTAAATGAGGAAGTGGGGCTGACAGTACTCCAGGCCGGCTTTCAATAAACATCTGCGCATCCACTGGCCTGCCCTCCCCCAATCCCTTGCACTTTGGTAAACACATAGGGCAGTTACATTTTATGTGGATTTGAATTTATATGCATTTGGAATCATATGATATAAAAGTGTTTTTAAAAGCTTCGTTTTATGTGCAAAAATTCAAATCCCTCTAAATTAAAAAAATGGTCTAGAACAATATAATTTCTAAGTTGGCAGAAAGTGAACTGTCCCCTCTGCTAAACTGAGGCCCCACTCCCTTCTAATTACTAGTAATCTGGGCTAGTTTCCCAGGTAAAAGGAACAACCAGCCATTCTTTATCAGCATTCTATGCCCAACACTTTTGTTTCATGTCTCAGAACACATGTGACTTTGGTGACTACTGGGTTGTTATCTCAATACTTACTGCTATTTTAACTTAAAATCTTCTAAAAGACATTCTATAGAAATGGTATTTATACATTCATTAAGAAGCAGGTGCTAGGGCTAGTGCTGGAAAGCATATTAGAAATTTAAAAATTCTAGAAAGCCAGTTAGATGGTATTAAACACTACTACTGTGTACACGTTATTATGCATTTTTTAGGACTTGGCTCAAACCATGCAAACATATTGTTCAGTGGCTGTAGATGTATGCCTTTGAAAACCATATTTCCCTTCCTATAAACTTACGTTTTGGAAACACCAGTCTCAAATTATGTGAATTTTAAATAATATGAGATAGTCAGGAAACCATTTCTGGCATAAACTGTGACTACCAGGTAATCTGTATTTAAACATGATCCAATGAAACTTAGAAGCCAGGACAGCTGGAGAAGACAGACCCAGAAGCAGGAAGAGCCAAAAGCACATTGTGGGCAAGAGCAGAGGGGGAATGACAGCTAAATCTTCCTGGAGGCTCCTCCCCTGCAGTCAGGTTGGGGAAGAGACTATCCCAAGAGCCACGGCCCCAGATCAGGACACGGCTAGGATGGAACACAGTGACACCTCTGGAGAGGCTACGCACCTCGATGACAGACTCCACACTTTAGATCTGGGGGGCACCCTGGGATCATCCCTCAGCCTGCAATGCCCTTCTCTTCCCTTCAGCTCAGTTGAAGGGCCACCTACTTCAAGAAGTCTGTCCTGAGTGACATTCCCAGGCTCGCAAATGTCAGCTTATTGCCAGCAGGGCATTCTGGGCATTCACTTCACTTCGCCCTGCACTGCAACTGCTGGGGTTCCCAGTTCTTTCCAATCAGGACCCTTTGACTTCCTTGGGGTAGGGACGGGTCTGTTAGCATTTTATCCTCAGTACCTAGCAAAGCCACGGGCTCCTGTCAGATGCTCAAGAGATGCGTGTTTAATGAAAACAAACAAACAACAAAAAAACGATGAATCCTTTCGTTTTGCAGAGGAAGAGCTGAGAGGGGAAGTCACTTTTGCTCTGGACCACACAGCTCTTGAGGGGCCGGGCTAAGACCCCGGCTCCAAGGCTCTGCCTGCTGGTGATCCAGAATGTTGACATTCTGAACCTTCAGTGGATCCGTCTAAGTTGCTCCCAGAATCCATGGAAAGGCAATTAATGTTTCTATGAACAACCAAGACGGCACCTTTTAGAAAAAGTATCTCATTTAGGCCCTTACTTCTCCCATGAGCTCATCTCTCTGGGCAAGTAAATACAAGCTGCTCACCACAGTTAACGAGCAGCCTAAGCGAAGGCCTCCAGTGAGGAAAGCCTCTCTTTTTTTTTTTTCCAGGCAATGCCCTACTTCTATCAATATGTGTTAAAAACAGACATTATTCCTGGCAACTGCTTCATAGCAAAAAATAAAAATAAAAATAAAAAAATAAATATCAAGCTTCACTTATCTCTCTGCTTCCAGTTTGAAGTAGAGACACTATCATAGTTTTCATACCAGGATTTGGAAAATACGTAAAAAACAAAACTTAAATTTAGCTGCTGCTTTGCAGTTGGATTCTTCGTACATCAGGAAAAACCTGAACAACTCCCTCCATCTATGTTTCTGAGATCACTAAAACTCCTGTTGCTCAGCTGAGCCAGTGAGCCATGAGCCAGCCCTCATAACGCTGTGTTGACAACAGGGAAAATGGCAGAGGCGTAAGGATACAGGTAACAGGGGCAACTGTCAGCTGCCTCTCCTGCCCCAGTCCTCACCATGAACAGCTCCCTTTTCTTGGCTGGCCGCCGTATGGCTTGTAGCGTTTGTGTGCCCCACACGAAGAGAGGATCTCAAGCCACATGTGACTGTGAAGACTACACCCCTCACAAGAATGCGCTGGGAATGCGCTGGAGAAATAACCATCAAAGCCAGTCCACGGTGGCGGGGAAGCCACAGATGGAAGCGCTCTCTGGCTTAAATCCAAGGTTCCAGGAGGGAAACATTGACATGGATTCTAAATAACGAACACAGGCTCACGTGAAACAACTGGAAAAATTGGGCACCGTTTCACAACTAGGGTGAGTTGGGAGGGAGGGTGGGAAAGGCGGGGACAGGCGAGCTGAGCCCCATCCGCTGGTGCACCGGGGCGGTTGGGTGTCACCTACAGACAGAGGCCAGTACACTAACAACTGGGATGGTGATTCACTCCCTGGTCTTCTACAGATTTTAACTTGCTCCTCATATTAGCTTGTCAGGCCTTTATTCCACCACACACTGACTCTGGCAACCACACATCACCTCAGATTGTTTGTAAAGAGCCCCCCTTCCACCCTCCCCCCACCCCTTCCCTATTGCCCCTGGAGAGCTCAATGACCACACATAGTCCTTCTGAGACCTCAGTCCATGCCTGTGAGCTACTGCCCAACAGGGACCACCTGCTGGCATCCTCAGTGTACCTAATGGCAGGTCCATCAGTGTGGCTTGAGGAAGATCTAGCAGGAGCCACTTCCTTCATAGTGCATGATTCTTTAGAGTTGAAGCACAAAAAAGAAAGAAAAGCAACTGCAGGTGGGTGGTCTTTGTTCTATTAGGCCTTCCACGGAGGGATGGGAACTTTGAACTTCAGGAAAATAAACAAAGCTGCAAGCTTTAGCCTGCTGGGTGCTAAGATGCCAACAGGGTGGCCAGCCCCCCACCCTCCTCCAGCCTGCGTGTCCACATCCATGCACGGGGGCTGGGGACGTGCATCCTAGGATGACTTTTACAACTGACCCTTTCTCAGTTCCCAGCTCAAGCTGTGGTTCACACGTGGGGCTTTGATACAGATCACAGGCAATGCCTAGGGCAACAGCGACACTTTTAAAAACCCTCCTCTGTAGGTGACAACACTATCTAGTTGAAAGATACAAAAGGAAAAACAAATGCCAGCACTGTCCCTGAAATGCAGGCAGCGCCCAGATGGTAGGCGGCCGTGAGGGCGAGGCAGGGCAGGGACTGCTCGCCAACACTTTACTCAGGACTGAACCTGGCTGCTGGCTTAGTTCAGGGTCAGGAGTCGCCGGTTTGGGATGTACCTGACAGAAATTTTCAAGATACACAGTACGGCTTAAGAGATACTTTAAGGCCAGGCGCGGTGGCTCAAGCCTGTAATCCCAGCACTTTGGGAGGCCAAGGCGAATGGATCACTTGAGGTCAGGAGTTCGAGATCAACCTGGCCAAGATGATTAAAACCCCATCTCTACTAAAAATACAAAATTAAGCCAGGTGTGATAGCAGCACCTGTAATCCCAGCTACTCGGGAGGCTGAGGCAGGAGAATCGCTTGAACCCGGGAGGCGGAGGTTATAGTTGAGACTGCGCCACTGCACTCCAGCCTGGCTGACAGAGCGAAACTCTGTCTCAAAAAAAAAAAGAGATACTATAGAGCAGAAGTCTTTTAGTGGGGGTACTGTGTCCCCATCACACCCACCACTCCCATCCCTGGGAAGCAGCCACTCCCACTAGGAAAATAGTCCCCTGCTTTAGGAGAACTGTTGGTCCTCACAAATTCCTGAGGAGGGGGAGTCAGTGAAGGTATTCAACGCAACAAAGATTCCAAGGAGAGGAATGAGGCCCTCGCTTGGCCTCAACTTCCCTTCCGTGGCACTGAAAGTGCTCGGAGATGTCTGCTTCCCGGGTACAACCACGGTATAAAAACAGCCCCTTTATGCTCCACTCAGAACTCAGCACTGGGGACTTCCACCCTCCCTCTTGCCATGTTGCTAGAGCTTTCTGAAATGAAAACAATAAAAAAATCTGTGCCCTCCCAAGGCACCACCATGTTTTGGTGTCTATGTGATACAGAGGAGACAGATACCATGGGAACAGGTTTCATCTGGAAGATGACAGTTGCACCTGGTGTGGTTTTTGGCACTTATTAACTTAATGCGTTGCAGTATGTCCGGTGACTGACACCCTGCAGGAAGGCCCACAGAAGGTTGCCATTTCCTAGCCCTTCAAGTCTCTTGCTTTATTGCAGCGCAGACTTGACCTTCTTTCTCCTTGGATTTGTGCTTCCTTGCACAATTACTGTAGCATCTTGGGATACTGCAATGGTGAAACAGAAATAAGCAACTCTAACTTTTGTTTTCCATTTCAACCCAATATTTCAGGCTCCAGTCCCTCATGAAGACATTCATTCAACGAATAATTCACTCAACTACGTGCAGGAGACACTTTCATAGATTTACACTCTGACAGGGAAAGACTGGCCAGGTCCACAAATGACATCATGGCAGACACACAGAGCACGGGCCAGGCACTCAGGGACCCGCAACCTGTTCACGGGAATGACAATAAGGTACTCCCAGAATTCTGAGATAAAATTACCTTAGGAGAGTAAAGTTAGATAAATTAAAAACACGGTTGATTTATCACAATGCTATATACGGATGTTCACAGCATCGCTATTACACAAGCCTCAAACTGAAACAACTCAAGTATCAACGTTAGAATGTAGTAATAAGTTACATATTAATATCATGGAGGATGATACAGCAATGAAATAAACATACTATTTGCTGCATGAAACAACATAGACATAGCTTGCAAATATGTTGAGCAAAGAGAATATAGTGTGAATTTTACTATCGAGTTTATAAGCAGGCAAAATGAAACCTAGGATGCTAGAGGGCAGGGTAGCGGTTACTCTGGAGGTAGTGGTGGCTGAAAGGAGGGCACACAGGGGACTTGGGTCCTGGTAGTGTTCTATTTCACGCCTTGCCTGCTTGCTACGTTAGTCTGATAACTTTGGAAAAATGTATCGAGCTGTACCTTCACAATTTGTACATTTTCCTGAATGAATACTACACATCTATACAAATGTTTACTTAAAAAACTATCTAGATGCAGTTAGTTGGTGTTAAGAGACAGCTGTGGGGGTGAGTGCAAGAGATGGTGTGAGAATCTGTGGCTAAAGAAATGAAGGGTGGGCCGGGCGCGGTGGCTCACGTCTGTAATCCCAGCACTTTGGGAGGCCGAGGTGGGCGGATCACGAGGTCAGGAGATCGAGACCATCCAGGCTAACACGGTGAAACCCCGTCTCTACTAAAAAACACGAAAAAATTAGCCGGGCGTGGTGGCGGGAGCCTGTAATCCCAGCTACTCCGGAAGCTGAGGCAGGAGAATGGCGTGAACTCGGGAGGCGGAGCTTGCAGTGAGCGGAGATAGCGCGCCACTGCATTCCAGCCTGGGCGACAGAGCAAGACTCCGTCTCCAAAAAAAAAAAAAAAAAAAAAGAAAAAGAAAAAGAAAGAGAAATGAAGGGTGCGCCCAGTTCGTTGTGTGTGATTTCGCATCAGCCCAGAAAAGAAGGCCTAAGATGCGACTAGAATCACGTGAGCTGGAATGCAATCAGTTACACTGTGCTCTGCTGGAAAGACCATGGAAAAGATTCGGAGAGGGAAAATTTTGCAGTGTTCATTCCTCACTGTCTGGCAGAGATGCTGTAACAGGAAGGCAGGAACCTTCTGGTCACCAGCGATATGCTCAACTGTGGGATGACTCATTAGTACTCGCCGTGGCTGGCATGAGGTGTCATTCAGGGTCATCTCTCTCCCCGTGAGTGCTCAGGCCCCACTCACCAAGCAACCTTCTAGCCACAGATTCAACTTCCCCAGCCCAGGACATGCTGGAAAACTGGAAAGGAATATTCTGGCCTTTACAAAATGTTCTCACTAAATACATAGCATCCTTTTGATATCTCAGGCACCTGTAAGGCCCCGATGCAAACACTTCTGAAAGAGCTGCGATAACACTGAGTCTCCGGACCTGCCAAGTCGAGAACCAGATGTTATACTTTGGAGACTCCACCAAAGCAGATCTCCCCTGAGACCCAGGCCCCAAGCACCCCCATACTCCTGGAATGGGTTCCTTGTTGGCTTGGTTTTTGTGCCTATACCATCGGTGGCTTGGACATCACCCACTCCCCACCGCCCAGCGGGGAAGAGAGGCTGGGTCAGCCTTCCAAGGTCAAGGCCAGTGAAGCTTTCCAGCAGTCAAGAGGCTGCAGGGCTCAAACAACAACCGGAATAAGGGGTCCATCTCTTGCCTCAGGGGCCTGTTACAGTTATATGACATTTGCCATGAAACTCAATATTCACTGCCTAGCAATAAACATAGAAACTGAAGTACTAGATTGGGGATTCCAGGGACTTCTTCCAATCCAACTTCTTGGCGATATCAGAGTATTTAATCACTGCAATCTAATAGGCAGATATTTTTGTTTTATTGGCTTCTAGAGCAGAACCTTCCATCCCAACCCTGGCAGCCACCTGGGGACATCCAAGTTTTGCTCTTTGCACAGCCGACTGTGTGTGAGCACAGGTGAAAGTGACCATGGGCATAGAAAGAAAGAAAATTCAATGTTCCTGAAGAGTAGATGGATCCTGAGAGGGGAGTGACGGTACAGTGTGGGCCGCATGGCCGTGAGCTGGCTTGTCGGTTGTTTACACGTAACTCTGCCTTGTCCCCCCAAAAAATTGAGAGCCCTGGAACCCATTTATACCCACGTGCCTTCAATATGGTATATCCCAACTGTTTTTCTTTTAATCTCTGAACCTACATTTTTCATGCTTGCTAATGAAACTCAACTCATTTTGTTTCTAGAGACAGAGCCAAATCTGGTGAAGCAAACTCATTCAGGAAGACTGGCAGGAGGGACCAGCCAGCCTCCGAGAGAAAGGATGTGGATGGCGTGTCACAGTGGGAAGAGCCTGGGACCAGGGTCTGAAGGCCACTGACAAGGGGACCCTGAGCAATTCACTGTTCGCTGAGCCAAGGTTTGCTCATCCATAAAATGAGGGACTGGAAACAGCTGATTTCTAAGTTCCTTTCAGGTTTCATGATGGCTGGGTAAGGAGCCTCATCTTCAGAGTCCGGAAGGCCTGGCTTCTGATCTCTGACCTCATCACTAGCTGTGTGACTCAGGCAAACTTACCTAACCTCTCTGAACCTTTTTATTAAAAAATAAAAGCGGTGACAATCATATCATAATCAACACATAATAACAGAATATAATATATAAATAGTACAATCACATAACAATAATAATGCGGACTGGATGAAGTAAATGTACATATGGTATTTAGTGATGTGCCTGGTGTAGTGTAAATCCTAAATACCGAACAGCAAAAACAGCCATGAGTCTGTGTTTTCCAAGGCTTATGTCAATGTTGACAGAGTCCCAGATGGAGCTCGGGGTGCAATCAGGTAAAAAGTAACAAAGCACTAACAGCTTAGGGAATGGTGTGAAATGTTCAGAAATGAATGTTTAGAATGAAACTGACTTACTATCAGCTCCGACCCTGGGCCCTGCCTGTCCTGACAGGTGTGGACGCCACCACCACACTCACAGCTGTGAAACATCTTTCCTACAGCCATATAAGTGGCAACTCTTGAGAGTTTAGTGTGCTTTTAAGAAAGCTAATGACACTAAGAGGAGGAGAATGGTGCTGAACAGTCAATTTTGTTTTCATCTTACAGAGAACAGTAAGCTATTAAGAGCAATCTGCTCAACAGCGAGACGTCACGAACAAGCTGAGCCATCTCCCCTGGTGTCCTGGGCTAAAGAATCTCCTTAGAAATAACAGCATTTGCCAGACGTTTATGCAGAAGTGGATGCATTATTTAACAAAGTCCCGTATTGTTTATTCTGGAACACTGATATGAGAGTGATACACATGCCTTTTTCAGCGTTCCCAAATATTGGTGATTTTGTTTCATGTCTGGGTTCTTTTGAACTGTTGTCACTGATAGTGAAATACTAATTGTATATAAAGGCAGAAACATGCTTTTCCTGAGGTTAGGAAACATATGCAGCTGGAATCTATAAAATAAATAATTTCTCAAATAATGACAGGAACATTTTCAGAGTATATTATGTAGTCTAACCCTACATTCTGATGAGTGTACAGATTAGAAAATATACATACTGGAAGACGGATATATTTTTATCTGTTTTGACAAGTTTACCCATTTCTCTCCCTGTCTTTTTTTCTTTCTTTCTTTCTTTTTTGTGGAGAACTGGGACTTGCTATGTTGCCCAGGCAGGTCTTGAACTCCTGGGCTCAAGCTATCCTCCCACATCTGCCTTCCTTAGTGCTGGGACTGCAGATGTGAGCCACTGCACCTGGCCTCGCCCATTTCTAAATAAGCAATTTATTGTTGCTCTTCTTCCCAACAAAGTGTGCATGTGTGTGTGGCTCACGCATGAACTGTGAGCCACGGACTATGCTTAACACAGTGCAGAACGTGGCTCTGTCTTTGAAGGATGATTCACTCCAATCCTAAGGCGGAAAATGGCCAAATTAAGAGCAGAGCTGGTGATGAGGACTACCAGAGGGCTATGTGGCCGTAAGCTAAGGAAGGGGCTTCTGAGGAGGGCAAGTCAGCCCTACAGAGGGCCCCCCAGCGGCATCCAGGGCCAGCCAGGGCCATGGACCCCGAGCCAGGATGACTGGGTTCAAATCCCGGCTCCACACTTACTTGCCATGTGACTTTAGCAAGTTATTAACCTAACCTCACCCTGCTTGAGTTTCCTTCACTCGAACATGAGGATAATAATTGGACCTACCGCAGGAGGGAACTGCAAGAATTAAATAATACATATAAAGCATTTGTGACAGTGCCGTCACTATCCTCCTCCAGGTAGGCTCTTTATGACCTTCTTCACCGTTCCAGTTCATTACTTCGCATTTCGAGCATGTTGTTCATGCTCCAGTTCTAAGAAATCAAGACCACTGAGCAGCACAGCCAACACCTTCTCTCCCAGACATCGTGAGTGTGATCAATATCATCAGCATGATTAAAAGCCTATTTATTTATGACATTGTGCTAAGTGCTACACTAACACACACACAGAGGTCCTCTAGAAATTCCCAGCTCATAATGGACGATAACTGTAAATCCAGAGATAGAGCACATGCATTAGGCAAACGTGGAAATTAAATAGGCTGAACATTTCCAATATTTGCAAGTAAATGTACTATTATATAAAAATGTGGGCCGGGCGCGGTGGCTCAAGCCTGTAAACCCAGCACTTTGGTAGGCCGAGGTGGGTGGATCACCTGAGGTTGAGAGTTCGAGACCAGCCTGACCAACACGGAGAAACCCCGTCTCTACTAAAAATACAAAAAAAAAAAAAAAAAAGTACCCGGGCTTCGTGGCGCATGCCTGTAATCCCAGCTACTCGGGAGGCTGAGGCAGGAGAATCGCTTGAACCCGGGAGGCGGAGGTTGTAGTGAGCCGAGATGGCACCATTGCACTCCAGCCTGGGCAACAAAGCAAGACTCCGTCTCAAAAAAAAAAAAAGTTTCCTCATGCACTCTCACCACCACTTACCCCACTCCACGCTCCACTCTGAACAGAATGATTGGCTGTAGTTTACAGAAAATGGAACCAGGAAGCAAATAAACTAAAAGAGAAATTCCAGGTGCGGGCGATTCCTCTCCTGCTTCCCGCCCCACAGTTCTGTCTCACCTTCGCAATAAGCAGCCCGCCAGCCAAGAGGAAATGGTGGGTAAGCAACTCCATCCTCTTTGCCCCCACGGCAGGGCCCTGGAACCCACACAAAAAGAGCCGGACTTAGAAGCCGAGTCGGAGAAGATGCCTACTAAGGAAGAGGAAGAGGATCTGGCTCTGAGGCGGAGGCTGCGGTCGGCGAGGGTGGAGTTGGAGACAGTTGCTTTCCATGATTTGATTTCTAAGCCACAAAGGTAAATTATGATGAAACAAACATATACATTTTTAAATGCTGTAAAAAGCATGGGCAAAAACATGGGCAGGAAGCAGCCCCGGTATGGTTACTGAAACCGCTGAAGCGAGGGAGGTGTCTGAGGAAGGCAGAGGCCATTGGAAACTCGGGGACTGGTGGCCATCCCTGGGCGCCTGCCTGGTGGAGCTCTGCGCAATGAACGCCCCCCTTGCTGGGAAGGGGCGTGCTCCACGTGGACCCCGGGCCCCTCCCACCTCGCTCATCCGCGCTTCCTCTCTGCCCACCAGAGCTCTGCATTTGCTTCTCCTTATGCGGATTGCAAATAAGGAGGCAGGTGGAGAAAGAAAAATCAGCAGAGGCGACTGAGAAAGAGAGGTCAGAAGGTAGGGGGAGGCCCTGGAAGAGCAGCAGCAAAGAAGTTGAGAAAAGAAAGTTCCAGAAGAGGGCAGTGGCCCACCTGTCCAGCACTGAGGGACTTGGTAAGACATGGCCTAGTGGGTGTCCTGGGGTGGACAAGTTCACCCAAGACCACACCAGGACGGCTTCATGGAGCAGTGAGCATGGAAGGCTGCCTGCAGAGGGGCCTGTGTGGCAGGGGTCAGTGAGAGGATGAATGAGCATCTGGAACATTCTTTTCAGGGATTTAGTTGTGAGGAGGAGTGAAAATGGGGTGGAAGCAGTGGCAAGTGTGCAGCTGAAGTAGGGAATTTTATTTATTTATTTATTTTACTTATTTTTTGAGACAGAGTCTCGCTCTGTCACCCAGGCTGGAGTGCAGTGGCGCGATCTGGGCCCACTGCAACTTCCAGCCTCCGGGTTCAAGTGATTCTCCTGCCTCAGCCTCCTGAGTAGCTGCGATTACAGGCCTGGCCATCATGCCCCACTAATGTTTGTATTTTTAGTAGAGATGGGGTTTCACCATGTTTGCCAGGCTGGTCTCAAACTCCTGACTTTGGGTGATCCACCCGCCTTAGCCTCCCAAAGTGCTGGGATTACAGGCGTGAGCCACCGCACCCGGCCATGAAGTAGGGAATTTAACAGAGGAGAGGGAAGTGAGAGCAGAGTGGAGGCTGCAGGAAGAGACATGGCAATGAGGCTCTGGCCTCAGATTCTCCACCTGTCAATTCGAAGTCCTGCTACATGCCAAGTAACTAGCATGCCTTCCTTTTCAATTCTCTGTACCCAGTCTGCAAACATTATATTTTTTTAAAGATTATGAACCAATCCTATGAATGAAAAGGAAAGCACTCTATATCCAGAAAACTTGAAGGCCTTAAATGGGCAGTTTTGCACCTTTCACATTCAACTCTATCTCTCACAGTTTTATTAATTTCAAAATATGAATACACCTGTCATCAGTGTTTGAGATGGCATTTGGCTTGCAGGGCATCTTGGCGAGTAACAGAGAGGGAGTATCTGGAGACACACTGCCAGGTGTGAATCCAGCTCTGCCGCCTACTAACTGACCTTGGAAAGTCATTTCACTTCTCTATGCCTCAGTTTTCATATTTTTTAAATGGGGACAATAAAGTTGTCCCCATTAAAAAAGTTAGGTTCACTATGTGTGTACATATTTGTTAAGCTGTATCTCACAAAGTGGTTAAGACTCAATATGTGTGTATACATGTGGCAGGCAGGATTCTGAAGAGGTCTCCCTGAGACTCCTCATCTGGATGCTGCTGTGGAAGGGGCTCTGCAGATGCTCCTAAGGTCACTATTCAGCTGATGGTAAGATGGGGACATCATCCTGGATCATCCAGGTGGGCCCAGGGTACTCACATCAGTGCTTAGAGACAGAAGACAAAGGGCGTAGAGGGGTGTTGGAAGAAGTGTGTTGGAGAGATGAGGCAGGAGGAGAGAGGCAGAGATTCTAAGGTGGGGAAGACTCTCCCCACTGCTGCTGGAGTGAAAGGAGCCACGAGCCAAGGAATGCAGGGGGCCTCTGGAAGCTGAGGTTAACCCCTGGCCAACAGCCGGGAAGAAACGGGAACTTGTGTCCTCCAACCACGTGGAACTGAAATTTACTTAAAACCTCAATAAGCCTGGAAGTGGGCTCTCTCTTTTTATTTTTCAAAGAAACTATAACTTATATCATCAGAAAAATAAAGCAAGAACAGGACACTAAAAAAGAACAGTTAGAGAACAAGAAGGAGTTTTTGGTACTGAAAGATATTGCAGGTGAATTTAAAAATTCATTGAAACATTAGAAGATAAAGTTAAATAAATTTTCCAGAAAGTGCAACAAAAAGATCAAGAGATGGATAATACAAAAGCTAAGAAAATTAAAGGATCAATACAAGACATTGGTTGGGTGCAGTGGCTCACACCTTTAATCCCAGCACTTTGGGAGGCTGAGGTAGGAGCATCTGATTGCTTGAGCCCAGGAGTTCAAGACCAGCCTGGGCAACATAGTGAGACCTTGTCTCTACAAAAAATATAAAATAAAAAAATTACTCAGACATGGTGGCACATGGCTGTAGTCCCAAGTACACAGAAGGCTGAGGTGGGAGGATTGCTTGAGCCTGGAGGTTGAGGCAGCAACAAGCCATGATTGCACCACTGCACTCCAACCTGGGCAACAGAGTAAGACCCTGTCTCAAGAAAAAAATACAACACATCAATATCCAAATGAAAGAGTTACAGATACAAAAGAAGTTTCAGATAGAGAGAACAGACAAAAAATAATAATGGGGAGGAAAATTATTGAAGGACATCTCCTAGAAATGAAAAACCCACATTTCTACATCAACAGGACTCACCACCACCCTGGTATTGATGCCCAACACAATGATTGATCATCATTTGAGAAAACAAAACCTCCAAAACACCAGCTGTAAAGAACAACATCTAAAAGCTTTGAAAGAGGTAAAGGAATGGTGGGGACAAGGTCAGGTTCAAATATTTAGTATATGGCCCTGGACTTCTGAATAGAAAATGTGGAAGCTAGAAGACAATGGAATCATTGCTTCAAAATTCTGATTGAGGATGATTTTCCATTCATATTTGTATACCCAACTTGACAATCAATCAAGTGTAAGATTGAAATAAACATATTTTCAGATATTTAAAATCTCAAAAAGGTATTGCTTCCTTAAGATGTCACAGGGTGTTTTCCACCAAAAGCAGGGAGGAAAATGATGAAGCTGAAGATCTGGAATGCAGGAACAGGAAGGATGTTCCTTGCCAAGGAGGATGCCCATCCAGAAGAGGGGCAAGGAAAACCCTCAGGATGATCATGACGGGAGACTCTGGAGCGACAGCAGTGCCCCAGGCCAGTCCAACTGAAGTGGAAGGAGGCTCAGATAGAGCTAAAATAGCAAGAATGGGTGCAATTGGATGGACATATTTTTACAGAGCTGTTGGAAGATGTGGAAAAGTCCAAATACAAAAACAAGTCAGGAGGCTGGGCACAGTGGCTCACGTCTGAAATTCCAGCACTTTCGGAGGCCAAGGTGGGCAGATCACTTGAGGTCAGGAGTTGGAGACCAGTGTAGCCAACATGGCAAAACTCCTTCTCAACTAAAAATACAAAAATTAGCCAGGTGTGGTGGCGTGCCTGTAATCCCAGCTACCCAGGAGGCTGAGACATGAGAATTGCTTGAACCTGGAAGGCGGAGGTTGTAGTGAGCCAAGATCACACCACTGCACTCCAGCCTGGGTGACAGAGTGAGACTCTGTCTCAAAAAAAAAAAAAAATGAGTCAGGAAATATAAAATGTTATATAAGGAAATATTCATAGTACAACCTGGCATAGGTGTGAACAATATTTACATGTGCAAAATAATTTAAAAATCTGGATATGGATTTAATAAAAATTTATGATATAGCTATTCTGAAGGGATTAGGGAGAAAGAGGAAGGGAAAGCATAAGAAAATAAAAAGTACACAGATAATGTCTAACATGAATGAACCAAGAGAGAAGTACATACATATTACTTAGAATACCAAAAACAGTTGAAACTGAGAGTAGGGGGCAGGGTCACAGGAGATGGCTGGTTTTGGTTATAAGTCTTTTAGCACAATTTGGCCTTTTAAACTATATGTTACTTTAATTAAAAACCAAAATTAAAAAAAAAATGACTCTACTTTCCTAGGTGCCACTTATCAATGGCCACATTCACTCTGAGTTGAAGGACATGGATGTTTAGGATACTTTATGCAAGCACAGTTGTATCCACTAGCTAATATCCTGAGTGGTTGTTTTCCTTTAGATATAGACAATAGCTCACATTAACATTCCCCCAGGGACCAATATAAAATATATCTGTCGTCAGCATATGAAGGCTCACTAAAGTTAATGGGCTTTTTCACACATCACCTAAGTTGTATACCTAATATACAACAGCAGAAGCAAATTAATAAATAAACTCTGGAAGATTCTAGCTTGTCATTGCTAAGTTTACCATTGTTTGCATAGTTCAGGGAGAGGACCTAGAATATAACTAAGGCAACAGGAAAATAATGTTTGAAGGGGATTAGAGAAGTCCACATCATCTCATGCACAAATAACAGTGTGAGCAAGAAGGCAGCTAATGTTAGCCTCATGCTGACCTTGCAGAGGGCTCTCTCCAACATCCAGCTCTTTGCAAATGGATTCCCAGAGTCAGAATATTGCATCTGAAAGAGACCTCAGAAATAGTCCAGTTTAACCCTTTCATTTCCCTAATGAGGAAACTGAGATAGGTTGACAAAAATAACAATTGTGTAATGTAGTAACCGCTGGCTGGACAGAGACTTCAACCCTGGACTCAGTCTGGGTTTTAGGTTGTGAATGAGACATGGATGTTTCTAAAGAGGGATAATGAGATTGTGCTGAGTCACACAAATGACACCAGAAATAGAACTTACTATTTAACCATGAAGAGATTCCATTCCAGACTAAGTGTGGGAAAAGCCTTTAACCACCCAAGCTACAGTGTTTTCCCACGGATGATCAGTGCCTAGAGAAGACTTTAATGAGAGGTGCAAGTTACCAAGCACAGGTGCTATCTACACTAGAGCTCATCTGCTGTATTTCTGAGCCAAACAGGCCCTGATCTCATTGACCGAGCTGCATTTGTTCAGTGTTTCAGCACTTGGGTGCACTCAGTTACATCTGACCAAGGGATTTTCTTGCCCTTCCAAATCATTCACTGAAAATGTGCTACTGGCAAATATCAACTCTGATGACTACAGAAACAAAACTCTTATACTTCTACACAAAGATGAAGACTCAATTTAATTCTTCGTTTAAACAAATTTTTTTTTTAACTTCTGATCCCTGCCTCCCTATCCATGAACAAACATTTCGCCAAGTCACAAGGACGTCAGGGTTTTAATAACTCATGGTACAGCCTTTAATCATATACTTTGGCCTAAATAGATTACAGCCACTGGTTCCCCCAACCACATGATGATTTGTTCCCTCATAAATTGTTAATTCATTCAGCAGGCATGGCTTCCTCTTACTTTGCCACTCTACTGCACTCAGTCACATTTTCTTAAGAACTCAGTGAGTTCTTTGTCATTGAGATGATGTGGACTTCTCTAATCCCCTTCGAACATTATTTTCCTGTTGCCTTAGTTATATTCTAGGTCCTCTCCCTGAACTACGCAAATGATGGTAAACTTAGCAAAGACTTTAAAGATTATTATGTAATATTTTATATGAATAGACAGAAAGTCATGAAGCCCCCAAATAAAACAATACTTCCAATCCTACCACCCAACTAAAGATTAGATCCCATTACCAATACCGTTGGATCTTACCTTCCAGACGACTCCCTCCCTAGGAAACTGTCCTTGCTTTTAAACATAGTTTTACCATGCACAAATGCCTCTGAACAATTTATTGCTTGAATATGCTTGCTTTTGAGTTTTATAAACATGTTATTGGCCAGACATGGTGGCTCATGCCTGTAATCCCAACACTTTGGGAGGCCCAGGCGGGTGGATCACTTGAGGTCAGGTGTTCAAGACCAGCATGGCCAACAGGGTGAAACCCCATCTCTACTAAAAATACAAAATTAGCCGGGTGTGGTGGCGCTCACCTGTAATCCCAGCTACTCCAGAGGCTGAGGCAGCAGAATCGCTTGAACCCAGGAGGCAAAGGTTGTGGTGAGCCGAGACTGCACCATTACATTCCAGCCTGGTCAACAGAGTGAGACTCAATCTCAAACAAAACAAAACAAAACAAAACAAAACAAAACAAAACAAAACACATGGTATTTTACTGCATGTAGTCTTTAGCAATTTTTTTTGCTGACGATAAGTTTTTAAGATATGCCCATGCAGGCCGGGCGCGGTGGCTCACGCCTGTAACCCCAACACTTTGGGAGGCCGAGGTGGGCAGATCACCTGAGGTCAGGAGTTCAAGACCAGCTTGGCCAACGTGGTGAAACCCCATCTCTACTAAAAATACAAAAATTAGCCAGGTGTGGTGGTGGGTGCTTGAACCCAGGAGCCGGAGGCTGCAGTGAGCTGAGATTGCACCATTGCACTCCAGCCTGGGTGACAAGAGTGAGACTCTGTCTAAAAAAAAAAAAAAAAAAAAATAGGCTGGGTGCGGTGGCTCACGCCTGTAATCCCAGCACTTTGGGAAGCCGAGGCAGGCAGATCACGAGGTCAGGAGATCGAGACCACGGTAAAACCCCGTCTCTACTAAAAAAAAAAAAAATACAAAAAATTAGCCGGGCGTGAACCCGGGAGGCGGAGCTTGCAGTGAGCTGAGATCGCGCCACTGCACTCCAGCCTGGGCGGCACAGCGAGACTCCATCTCAAAAAACAAACAAACAAGCAAACAAAAAAAAAATATATATATGCCCATGTTGCTGCATGTAGCTGCAGTTTCTCTGGTTTCCACTGCTGGATAATACTCCACTGTATGAATCTCCCATGGTGCATTTATTTGTTCCCTTTTTCTTGAACATTTATATTGTTTCCAGTTTTTTGCTATTGTGAACAGTTATCATCATGAACAATCTCAAACATATCTCCTCAAGAAATTGCAAATATGTTTCTAGTATATATACTTACAAATGGAATTGTTGAGTCAGAGGGTAGATGTGCATTCTGCTTTATAAGATAATACCAATTTTTTATCCAAAGTGGTGGCACCAAATTACACTCCCACGAGCCTTATATGAGCCGTGCTGTTTCCTCATACGCATCATTGCCAACGCTTGGTAATGTCAGACTTCTTAATTTTTGCCAACTTTGTGGGAGTAAAAAGCATGTCACTGTGATCCTAATTTACATTTTCCTGATTACTAATGAGGCTGAGCATGTTTTCATGTTTTTAGATTGTCTACCACCTGGCGCCTAATAATTTTAGGCAATTCATTTCGTCATACTGTGTATCACACTATTCATTAATCCAAAATTCAATAGGAGGATGAAAATCAAGACACATCAGGAGACAGTAGGTGACTCTGAGTGACTACTTGTCTTTGTGTAATGAGCATTGTGGCTGATGCTGCAATCACTCAACTCCACCCCCATTAAACAGCAGCCTGTGGCTTGGAGATTGGAGCTCAGCTCAAAATGAGGGCATGGATAGTCTAAGGGAATCCCACATCTCTTGAAAGTTCAGGAGCGGAGATGTAAGCCAAATCTGTCTAAAGACAGAAAAAGACAGGACTAGTAGAAGCATCTTGAAAAATCCTTCCTTCCTCTCACAAGCAGCAGTGGGAAGCCAGGATGTGTCTGACACTGGATGTGAAAGAGGAAGCACATGGACCCACCTGCTTCTGGCAGCCATCCTGGGCCCACGAGGAGAAGCAATCAGAGAGGAAGGTGGCCGGTGTGGAGGGCTGAGCAGACAGATGAGAACCACCAGAGTCCCCGATCACACTGCTCAACTGTCACACAGACCAACATGGAGCCTGCTATCTCTGGGTGCCAATTTAGGCAAATCAATATGTTGCTTTGCTGCTTTAGGCAATTTGAACCTGGCTTTCTGCTACTTCAACCAAGAGCATCCTGATACAAGTTGTGTAGTTTAAAAACAAACACAGCCGGGTGCGGTGGCTCATGCCTGTAATTCCAATACTTTGGGAAGCCAAGGCAAGTTGATCACTTGAGGACAGGAGTTCGAGACCAGCCTGGGCAACATGGTAAAACCCCATCTCTATTAAAAATACAAAAATTAGCTGGGCATGGTGATGGGCACCTGTAATCCCAGCTACTTGAGAGGCTGAGCCAGGAGAATCGCTTGAACCTGGGAGGCGGAGGTTGCAGTGAGCCAAGATCATGCCACTGCACTCCAGCCTGGGTGACAGAGCAAGACCCTGTCTAAAAAACAAACAAACAAAACAAAACAAAACAAAAACAAACACAACAAAAACTATGAGCCATGAGTAGCATTACTAGCACATGTGGGCAGCTGGGCAGTAGCAACAGGTGGACATGTATAGATAAGCCTGAGATCCCTCATCATCTCCAGGCAGGAGGAGGTGAGTGGTGTGAGATGGGGATCAGGTAGCAGGGACAAGACTCAGAAATTTGGGGTTGCTGAGCATGGACTTTCTTTCCAAGGCAGGTTTTGAAAACCCTTGAACAGGATCATTCAGAATAGTTGCTGCTAATTAAATGTGAAGAAATCTCCTGACTACTGCTCCCACAGCTACTGCCTGACTGCTCTGTCATCCACTCTCTCTCAACATGTATGGGGACACTTTTGGCTCACATACAGTCACGGTGTCCTTGCTTACATGCAATGGTCTTCTTGCCGTTTCTATAATGACTTTCTTGGTCTTCCCTTCTAGGCTGTGCATATCTTAAAGGAAGGTGTTATGCTGTCCTGTACTTTGCAGCCTCCTTTCCACCAGATGTGACCACTGGTCCTGCTGGTTACTCCTGTGGGCCCTGAGAAAGACATCTACTGTCTCTGAGATTCAATTAACTTCTCAATTGCAGCAAGAAGAACACTTCAAGACTGTTGGGTGGATTATGAGAATACATCATAAGTGCTCCGTACATATCTGTGGTGTTAATGCCATTGGGGGAGTGCATGAAGACTGACCTCCACGGTGGCCATGTGTGGTCAAAGGCTGAGTCTTGGCCTTAGAATCCTTCCAGACTAAAACACAGTCCTGTGTCCTGAAGAAGCTGAAATATTTTTCCTCTTTAGGAGAAGTAAGGCATCATTCAATTAAATTATATTCTTAACAATAGAGAATCTGAGCAATAACTATGTCAGCTGGAGAACAACAATCTTACCAAATCAGATTCAACATAAAACTAACCATTGATACTCTGCTACAAACTACCAGCTCCATGAACCAGTAAAATGCAAAAATCATGGCCTTTGTTTGCATGAGGAAATCAGCAACAGGAGTGCTAGTCTTGTCAGTACATTCCAAAATAAAACAATACTAACTTTAGAAATGCAAGAGCTCTCTGAACATGAATGCACTTTTTAATAACTTTGCATGTTCATGGATACAAAACAAGAGCTGACATCATTTTAATGTCAAGGCTTAAATTTCAGTGTTATGAAAATATCTAATCACAGGCCGTAAATGCAATCTTAAAGAATAAGAAAGATACAGCTAATTTAGAATACAACAGATTCCTGGAATAATTGTTCTTGGAAAAAGACCAAGAAATAGTTGACACTTCCCCCAAATCACATTATTTTAATTCTGTACATTGTTTTTTTTACAAAAGCACCCTAAACAATTGCATAGTTGTCTTAGACAAATTTAGAAACCATATAAAGTATGTCAAATTATTTTTACAGGGGAAAAATGTGATAAACAGACTTGGAGGAAGGAAGGAAAAAATAATGACAGAACAAAAGGAAACCAGAAATCCAAAATGAGTCAAGCCAACAGGGTATTGTGTCTAAAAGAAAATTATCTAAAATCTGAACTACCAGAAATGGGAAGAGAAAAATCTGAATTTTCATTATTTGCCTCTTTTTCACCATTAACTGTGCTGATTCTGTCTAGGATTACCATCCAGCAGAAGAAACTGTAAACAAATCCAATCTTTCCAATATGCTAAATAATGAACTTCATAACGTGCCCACGATGATGGGTCTTGTCTTCCTGGAAATTGCAATCTACTTAATTTTTCCAACTAAGGAACATCGGCTGTGGTTTTGAAAGGTTACTGAGAAAAGGGTTTTAAAAGGTGATACAAAGCAAGCAAAATCTTGGTTCTATTCTTCACAGAAAATGAATCACATTTAAAATGTTTTAAACTTTTAAGTGATGGAAGCCATTTTAAGGCTTTGTCCATCCTTCACTTTCATGAAAGGGCCACGGATTCCACCACGATGGACCATGTCTGTTCTTGGGCAGTGGGTGGGGGTTCATGGTTGTGGTCCACAGCATCTCTACCTGGAGAATAAGAGCAAAGCTGTTTCCCTGATAATCACACCCCACATTCATCCACTGGCAAATCGTGTCACTGTCAAAATGCTCCTAATTCGAGTTACTTCCCATCTCTTCCATCATGAGCCCTGGTCCAAGTCCACCCTCGTCTCTCAACTGAAATCTTATGATAGCTTCTGTAATTTCCCATTTCCTCTCCTGCCCCCTTACGTCCCACTCTCTACACAGCAGCTAGAGTAATCTTTTAAAAATGACTTCCAGTTATACTAAGAACAAAACCTAATGTCCCCACCATGGTCTTTAAGGCCCTACCTGATCTGGCCCCTAGCTCTCTCAGTGGCATCCTCTTCCTCCCACTCACTCTCTTGTTCTCCACTGCACTCCAGTGACGTTGATCTTCTTCCCATGCCTCAAACATGCAAAGTTCATCCCCACCTCAGGGCCTTTGCACTAGCTGTTCCCTCTCCCTGGAATGCTCTTCCCTCATATATTCAAGTCTCAATCCCTTCTTTCAGATTTCTGCTCAGTGTCACCTCTTCAAATATATGCCTTCCCTGACTAACTAATCTAACACAGCCTCATCTCCTCAAGTCATGGTCTACTGCTTCACCCTTCTTAATTTTCTTCTATCAGTCATAATAATCTGATATTATGTTATACATATATTTGTGGACTTCCTCATTGTCAGACATCCCTACTAGAACATAAGCCCCTTGAAGGCAGGGATTTTGTCTCATTCATGGCTAAATTATTTAGCACCTAGAATATTCCTCAGTCCTCAGCAAATATTCGTTGAATGAATGAATGAATCAATCAATCGATTTGTCTCCTGTGAGCTGAAGACCTAAGAGTTATAAAATTCAAACACATCCCTACTTCTTCAAGTGAAATATTTTAGACCATTATGATAAGCAGGTGGTTGCTTATATGCATAGGGTGATCCAAGTAGCAAAAACTTGCTCATCCTGTGACATGGAACACCATCGTCATGTTGCTGTCATCCCAGGAGCATCCCTTGTAAAGAAGTCCATGGGGAATGGCAGTAACAAAACCCTTTTGGTGAGGCAGGTTCTGGACTGACGGTCTCAAACCAAATGCTGTTTGCTATGGAGCGAATGGGTTCCCCAAAATTCATATATATGTTGAAACCCTAACTTCCAATGGGATGATATCGGGGTGGGGGGCTTTGAGAGGTGACACAAGTTAAATGAGATCATAAGTGTGGGGCCCCATGATGGGATTAGTGTCCTTAGAAGAAGAGGAAGAGCCTGGGGCTGGCTCCCTCAGCCACACGAGGACACAAGGAGAAGGCACCACCCGCAAACCAGGAAGCCACCCTCACAAGATACCTGATCTGCTGGACTCTTGATCTTGGACTTTCCAGCCTCCAGAACTCCAAGAAGTCTGTTTTTAAGCTACCCAATCTAGGGTATTTTGCCAGCCTAAACAGACTAAAACACAGCTCCACAGCAAAAGATGAAACAGCAGTGCCGACACACCAAAAGTGTTCTCTGATCCCCAGTGGAAGTTTAGCTACAAGAGTTTTATGAGCTACAGGGGGCAAATGGGATTAAAACTGGGCAGGTTATCAGCATTTTCTTTTTTTTTTTCTCTTCAAGTTTCAGAACTGAATACATCATCTAACCACAAACAAAAGTAGTGTCAAACACAGTTCCACTTCACCAGAGCTATTAAGAACCCATATGAATCAAATTAATATTAAGCACAGGAGGTAAAAATCTGCTCAGCTGTTCCAGCATAACAACCACTGAACTCAATGCAATGGAAACAGATAACAGCCATAGGCGGCTTTAACCTATTAATAAAGTCCCAAGTTTAGCTTGACAGATGTTTTTGCACTATTCTCTGGATATACTACCACCTTTATCTGAATTTGCTGTTTTCTATTTTAACTTTTTTACATGAAAAGAAATAAAGCAGGACAAGAGACAGTATGAATAAGGTGCTAACATCTGTTTCAAAAATATGTTTTCTCCCTGTTCAATGGGACAGATGTTTACAAAGATACTGAAGAGATCATGTTTATCTCAAAGACCTTCCACAAATAATAATATCAGTGCAATGATAATAATATCTGTCTAACAGTACCTACTGTTCTGCACCAAATCCCTCGAGTCACTGATTTGGACTTGCCTCCAAATACCGGCTGAAAGATACACAGTAACTCACCATATCAGCCAAACTCATCAATTTGATCAATATTCTCTTTCCCCAATTTACACTTTTCCACCTCTGCTCATCCTATTCATTCTTCCTGGACACTCTCCTCAGCCACAAATGTCAAAATTATATCCACTGTAAGGGCTGCGCTCTACCTTCCACTCTCCAAGTCTACATCTGCCTCTCACTTCTCTGAATTTTTTTTTTTTTTTGAGATGTGGTCTCACTATGTTGTCCAGGCTGGTCTCGAACTCCTGGCCTTAAGAGATCCGCCCACCTAAGCCTCCCAAACTGCTGGAATTACAGGCATGAGCCACTGCACCCAGCCCCCCGGCTCTTTATTGCTAACATGTCCTCCATTCATAGTGCATCATTTTAGTTTTCAAAGCATTTTCATGTAACAAGTTCAGGAGGCAAGACAAATATTATTCCAGGTTCCAGATGAAGAAAAGCAGAGTTTTCCACGTTAAGGGATTATGGAAAGCTCCTGTTCCTCCTGTTGCCCTTACTGTCTTCATCAAACAATGCTGAGATATTGGCATTGTCTCTTTGATTAGGTTATAAGCTATGAGAAGACAGAAAGTATGTTTCCTGGTGCTGGCCCCATGGTAATTACTTGAAAATGTTTGTTGATCAGGATGGTAGAAATTGGACTCTGGTTCTGACTCACTATCTTTAGTAGTATGATTGGGCAAGTCACTGAGATACAGGCTCCTCATCTGGTGAAAATGAGCGTGTTGGGTTGAAAGCCAGAACTAATTCACTGATCCTGTAATTCATGAACAATATGCTCAGATGTTGCTTCTCCTTGGCAGATATCTTCTGGTGGATTTCATCATGAGCTCTTCACAGATCTCAGACGGTCACATCCCCAAATTCATCCTGTAAATGGGATGGAGGTGCTGGGCTGCCATGGGCCCATCAGAGCCTAATCCTCATAACTCCTTCCTTGTGGGGTTCACACTGGGGTATACACATTACATGCAAATTCCACTTAATCCTTACCACACCCCACATGAGGCAACGTCATTGCAAACTATTACCACTTTGTATATATCATGGCCCTTCGGGAATACTCACAGAAGAGTGAAAACTTTTAATCCTAATCCATGAATGCCATATTCCACCATGTTTTCAAAACTATACCTTTCAAACTATCTATAACTGTGGAATTTCCAGAAAGCCCCTCAAAGCTCCACCTTTTCCAGTCCCTGAAGTTAATCACATTGGTAATGGAACCCACAATTGTTCTTAAAATGGAAATTCCTTCCCGCTTCCCTCATTACAGTCACCATAGTCACTGTCCAAAATGAGGAATAATTTTCAAAATCAAAGAGCTTTGCTCTTCCAAATCATCACGTTTTTAATTTCACCTTCTGTTTCCTCCCTTATCCAATGCTACTCCGAGCAGACCCCTGGACTGTAGTCCCGCAGCTCCTTCCCCTTCCCTAACCCACCCACTCATGCTGGCCTGGATCTTGGCTTTGCTACACCACCCTACCTCTACCCACACACAATATTTCATGTGACTGTGTTCACAGGAAAAGCAGAGAGGAAGAGGAGAGCAAGAGGAAATGGTGGAGGAAATGCCATATGACTGCCAAGACCTGTGTCAAAGGAAGCCCTTGGGCAGTTCATGCAGGTCGGCGTGTGTATTGGATTCCTAGGGCCGCCATAACCAGTGCCTCAAACTGGGTGACTGAAAACAACAGAAATGTAGGGTCTGACAGTTTAGGAGGCTGGAAGTCCAAATTTAAGGTGGTGGCAGGTCCATGTTCTTTCTTAAACTGTAGGGGAGGGTCCTTCCTTGCCAGCAATTCCTGGCATTGTTGGCTTGTGGGTGCATCACCCCAGGCACATGCCCATCTTCTCCCTATGGGTCTTCACATTATCTTCCCTTTGTGTATGTCCATCTCTGTCCAAATGTCCCCTTTTGATAAGGGCACTAGTCATATCTGATTAGGGTCTACCCATATGAATACATTTTAATTTAATTACCTCTGTAAAGAACCAATGTCCCAAATAAGGTCACATTCTGAGGTCCTGGGGGTTAGGACTCCAACATATCTTTTTGGGGAACAGAATTCAACCTAAAATAGCATGGGGGGGGTTAACTTCCTCCCCAATGTGGGAGGGGACCAGCCCTCAATGGAACACCTCCACCCCCATACCCAACAGGCCACATGAGGCCTATGCACAGAGACCCTAGAGACAGTCCTAGTGAACTGGTGGGACCACCGTGCTTCACTCGACCTCCCATCTCAGAACCACCCTGGGGAGATACAGCCGGCAGTCACAGAGGTTGCTGGCTACTGGTTTGTGACTCTTGGCTCCAAGAAAGGATATGGCAAGAGGAAGAATCCACTTTATCAGGAGAACAGGCATTCCTGGCCACAAAACATGTGGAATTGGGTACAATGTATGTAAAGAAATGTGCTTTATGACCAAAAGCACATTTAAATATAATCATCAACCCAAGGCCGGGTGCAGTGGCTCACACCTGTAATCCCAGCACTTTGGAAGGCCGAGGCAGCCGGATCACTTGAACCTAGGAGTTCAAGACCAGCCTGGTCAACATGGCAGAATCCCGTCTCTACCAAAAATACAAAAATTAGCCAGCTGTGGTGGCGCATGCCTGTAGTCCCAGGTACCCGGTGGGGTTAGGTGGGAGGATTGCTTGAAGCCGGGAGGCGGAGGTTGCAGTGAGCTGAGATTACACCACTGCACTCCAGCCTGGGTGACAGAGCAAGACCCTATCTCAAAAAAAAAAAAAAAAAAAAAAAAAAATTCAACCCGAACTTCTCAACATTTCCCAAAACTGCTTGGCACCACCATCCTCCTGCTCTGCCTTTATGAATGCTGCTCTTTCCTGCCATCTTCTCCTGATGAAATGTCATGTACCCTCCCATGGCCATCCAACAACCTCCTTCCCTCATGCCTCTCTGGGTTTGTTGTCCTGCTTCTGGGGTCTCTGATGCTGTGCAAAGTCCGTCCTTAGAGGCAGCAGCCACTGGCTGGCTGGGATTATAGGCATCCATGATACATGAGCAGCCTTTCTGGCTGCAAGGAACTCGAGGGCAGAAATGGGCCCAGTTAACATTTGTATTGCTCATAGTGCTCACCCAGTGCACGTACAGCAGAAATATTTGTTAAATGAATGAAACAGGAAAGGCAGAAGGCTTGTATTCTAGAAACTCCCATTTTAGACTGCTTTAAAAAAAAATCTCATAGTTACATAGGACAACAAAATTATAGCTTATTTAAATTCTCCAAAAAATAGAAGTTTGCATCTCATCAGTGCTTAGTGAGGAATCTACAGATGGAAGCTTTGAGGGGAAGGAGTTTGCAAAAAAACACTATAAATCTCCTTGGGGTATACTTTTCTGCATCCATTTTGAAATGAAAAAATAAAAAAAAAAATCCCAAAAAGGCACCATGGGAGGCTGTAGT